>NC_000003.12:171129816-171281331 GCF_000001405.40 Homo sapiens
AATTTTAAAGAGAAACTTAGATAAACAAGGTGCGCACTCTAAGATATGGCTTAAGATCTTAGACAACTTCAAGAAGCCTATGACTTTTCTTCCAGATCTACTGTGTCCTGTCCTTTATTTCTTCAGGACCAACTTGACTGTTGTGCTTCCCAAAGCCACCAGGACAATGCAACCATTCTCCCCACACTGATGGCCTTTACAGTGAGCCCTTAATTCTCTTCTGCTGACTCACTGAGCATTTTAAGAACCCACGTGCAGATGTTCAATATTCATGTCTGTTTGCATATTTTTTATGTAGCAGCTAAAAGTCTTTATTCATTTTACTGCCTGATTTGAAATAAAAACTTGAAAGAGCTATTTTCCCCCATCCTCCCTATCCCATTTTGAATCTTTCTAGAGGCAGACTCAATCAAATATACAAAGTAAGTCTGTTTTTAAACTCATACTAACCTCACATATTTTAACACAATAAGATAAGCTACAGAATGAAAAACAGCCCTCCTGCCTCTAGTGAGGAGTAATTTGAACATCTCTTCCCCCACCATGGCTGTGCAGGGTACATACAATTGGCTTTGGTTTTGAAATCCCGTGTCCCAGAAGCTTACCACACACCAAATGAGATTTGCTGCAAAAAGCCAGGAATATAAACCAGAACATGTGTACTTTGTGTGTGCATGTGTGCGAAGTATTACATCAGCAATAATTATTTGGCTATTGCATTGAGCAAAAGAACAAAGCCAGCTTTGAGATAAGACCACAAAGAAGAAAAAGTCCCACAAAGACAGCAATAGATAAACTGAGATCAAGGCATGCAATATATCACTTTTCCAAATGCCAGACTCTTTGAAAGAAGGTTAATATTTCTAGACCACTGGAATTGGTCAAATATTATCCATTTTCTTATTTTCAGGGTAGATCATTAATAGATAAGTCATACATAAGCATCCTTCAGTGTCTGAATTCCCACTATCCAAACCACTTGTCACCCAAAATTCAGGAACAAAATATATGCAGAGTGAGGAATACTTGTAATTATTATTTTTGGCTCTAAAATACACTGATAGCTTTAAATGTACATTAAGGGACAGCACATTAAAAACAATAGTAGAAAAGTTTGCCCCCAAAGACTCTATCTTGGGCAAAGAAACCATTTTTGAGATAAAGAAAGAATTCTTTTGGGAAGTGTCAGCAACAAGGCCCCAGTCTAAGCATCCCTGCTGCTAATAGGATCACAGGCCACAGGGGGCCCTAAAGCTATCATTAGAAATTAACAGGGCATTGGGAGGCCGAGGCGGGCGGATCACGAGGTCAGGAGATCGAGACCATCCTGGCTAACACGGTGAAACCCCGTCTCTACTAAAAATACAAAAAATTAGCCGGGCGTGGTAGCGGGCGCCGGTAGTCCCAGCTACTCGGGAGGCTGAGGCAGGAGAATGGCGTGAACCCGGGAGGCGGAGCTTGCAGTGAGCCGAGATCGCGCCACTGCACTCCAGCCTGGGCGACAGAGCGAGACTCCGTCTCAAAAAAAAAAAAAAAAAAAAAAAAAAAAAAAAAAAAAGAAATGAACAGGGCAGAAACTAGGGTACTGGTTTTCACAGGCAATGAATGGATTTGATTAGTCATGTATAGATGTTGCTAATGTACTTCTAGTAAAAATTTCTTATGCTTTCTAACAGTTTACATATTAAATTCTATCATTAGTATATTTCAGTCGGTACCATTCTAAAAATATATGGCATAAGTAATTGTTACACTTTGAAAATTATTTCAGGAAGGCTCCAGTGTACTGAAATTTCCTGGGTTGAAGTTTGTCCAAAGAAAATTGAAAATCTAAGAAAAGGGTGTAACGATGAGGCATCTCATTACGTACTTTGTCTCAAGAAAACCTAGTCCTGAAGTCTTTAGGAAGATAATGCCGCCCAAGTGTCTTTACACTGCAGAATCACCTTAAGAACTGGAGCAAAGGATCAAATCAAACATTGGAAGTGGCACTTCTCCTAATAATACCTTCAGATGGACAGAGAGAAAGCTGGATGGGGTATCTAGGCAGGCCCTTTTCATTATTTTCATACTAGACAAAGGCCTGTTCCCTGGTTTATCACAACTTATGTCTGCTGACTGAACAGGAGATAAATATGTGAGACAAAAAAAGAAAGTCTCCCTCCAAAACCTCTCCCATCTAGAAGAAAGATACATGTGATTAAAAACTGGGAACAACAAGATATGTTTCAATGCCTGAGGATGTTCAAAAAAGTCTAGGAGCCAAGTTTCTGCTCCAACTGCCTGCTTCCAAGAAGACATAAAATGCCAGGAGCACCAATTAGAAAGTGTTCCAGTACCATCAGGTATGGAGTGTGAAGGTGCTAGACCATAACAACAAAAGATACCTGTTATAAATGATTTCACAGTAGAAGGAATTATCAGAAATACAGAGAAGGTTAGCACAGACTGATCAACTTCACTATAAAAGTATTTTTTTCTTATTAAAAAATCGTTTCAACATGAAAACTAAAATAACTTTGGAGAAGTTTGGATCACCTCTGCAAAAATGCTATACTATTTACTATAGCATTATATAGAGAGAAAAAAAATAACTGTGGTCTCAGAAATAAAATTCTGCTCTAGACAGGTCTGTGTTATCCACTGCCTAGGATAGGAGTAATGTCTATGGCCTCTGCTATATATAAAGGCTATACAAATATAGACAACTTAAAAATAAATTTGTTAATTTCAGGATTTCCAAAACAATTTCAAAATAAATTTTTTAAAAAGTTAAAACATAATAAAGAGAAACACTGTATCAATGTCAATTGTCAAATTGTTTTTTATATTTTAAAACAATTTGTAGGTTACAGTGTCTCACTTTACAATAATGAATAACATCTACTGAGAATTTCAAAACATTTATAGAAGTAATTTTAAAACTGTTGACAGCAAATATATATTTACTATGTCATATGGGTGCATTCTAATAATATTTTATAATATGTAGAGTCCACGGGGTTTAGGAAGGTCTCAGAAGGCTTTACTTAAGAATTAATACATGGTGAATTCAACACAATCATATGGGTATTCTCTTTTTTTCCCCAACTGGACAAAACAGTTTGGTTTTTGTGTTTATTGGCAATGCTGGAGAAAGAGAAAGAAGCCAGTAAGTAACTTTTAAGTGCTCCTTAGATACTTTGACCCTGTACTCACTAGTCACATAAAGAGCTGAGTAATATCGTTGGGCAAAACCACATGGGCAGATGGTTACTGAGCAAGTTTGAGGATGCCCCTGCTCCGGGTCACCTCTGAGAACGGGGGAGACTCTCATTCATAAGGAATGCTTAAGATGCAATCTTGTCTGACTCTAAGGGCCTGGACTATTTTCCCAGATCAACTTCTTACTAATATTCCAGAAAAACGTATAGATCCCTGTGTGAATGGAGCACATACTTAAAAGTAATGAAGCAAAATCTTAGAAAGTTGATATAGGAAATAAAGAAGTGCTTATCTATCACCTGGGAGAGGTGGGTGAAGAGATAGGCGACGCCAGTGAATTGGTCATATGAAATCCAGACCAAAACAAGAGACAGAACACTTGTTCCTCATGAGCTACAACAGTCTTGGAAACAAAATAGGAATATGTTGAATACCATATTTCATTTGAATTTGTGTAGTATGTAACTTTAAATGGCACGTGCATATTCATTATTGCCCATGAGCTTCCCAATTGTGAGGCAGATGTGCGGATGAGGAAGCTGCATCTCAGGAAGGCAGGAGACACGCCCTAGGTCAGGCAGGCAGGAAGTGGAAGAACTTGAACTCAAACATACTCCTTACTATTTCCTTCCAGGTCTCTCCTATATTTAATCATAAGAGAGATATGCAGAAATGGAGGAAAGATATAAACTCTCTAAATGCTAGTTTGGGAACTTTATATATAAACTAACTAATATAAAAGGAAAAAGAAATCACTTAGGTATAGAGCAGAGAAATCCGGATGGAGAAGGAGTTTTTATACACAGTGATTTCAAAGTCCAGTGAACTAATGGAAATAAAGAGATATTTTGGCCCTTATCAGATTGATGTTTGCAAACAAACACTCCAGGACTGGCATATATCACAGAAAGAGAACACGATGGAGTGCTAAAAAAATTAAAATACAATCTCATGCAATACTCATGTAAACAAAGCATTCTTTCACTGCTGAGCTTTGGTACAATTTTTTTTTTAAGTATGTGGGATGGAAAAGGAAGGGGAGCCCACACAGTTATTGCCAGGCCCAGAAAATCACATGCCATTTAAGGAGCAGAAGAAAGAAAAAGGAATCTCCATCATCCAAAAAGTGAGGAAGAAGACCTTCAAATTCTGCCGATGTTCAACAGAACATCATACTGATATTTTCACAGTACATACCTGACATCCATCTCAACTCAGAAATGGCAGATAATTTGAAAGCAGTGAGAATGCCCCCAACCTGTCTATTTATTTATGTATTTATTTGAAACAGGGTCTCACTCTTTGCCCAGGCTGGAGTGCAGTGGTGCAATCATGACTCACTGCAGTCTCAACCTCCCAGGCTCAAGTCCCACCCTCAGCCTTTGGTGTAGCTGGGACCATAGGCATGCACCACCATGCCCAGCTAATTTTTATTATTATCTGTAGAGACACGGTTTCACTGTGTTGCCCAGGCTGGTCTCTAACTACTCCTGGGTTCCAGAGATCCTCCTGCTTTTGCCTCCCAAAGTGCTGGGATTATAGACGTGAGCCACCGTGCCTGGCTCCAAGCTGTCTTTTTAATGCAGAGACATTCATATTCTTTTAAATCAAGGCCAATGTGACATCCAGGACAGAAAGAATACTCAGTAAAAGGAGGGAGAGAAGAGCTCAACAAGATTTGCAAATGACTGAGCATTTTCACTTGCTCTACAATATCCAACATATTAATCAGAAAGGTACTCAGAAATGCAGTGATCACTTGTGTTTTACAAAATGAAGAAACAAGAACAGAGAGAACAAAGCAGTATAAGAGCATTACATTGCTGATAAAGGACTATCGATTTGGAATGAGGAAGAGGAGAAGTAGATGGAAAAGTAAGCAAAGAAGAAGAAAAAAAAACTTGATGAGACGGCATAGAGCTGAGTTACAAAACAAATGCTGGAACAGATTACAGAAGAGGTTGCAGTAGGTGGAAGAGAGCTAGGTGATACCTTCAGTGGCACATGGGGCAAAATAGTCCAGACCCTACACAACAGGAGACGGTGGCATGGGCACAGAGGGTGCATTTGAAAAAAAGAAAATGGCATCCTTTTATTTTACTTCCAGAGGGTTTAACCCAGGTTTTCTTATAACTTGATAGTTAAGATACTGATAAGCTATGTTCATATTTAAAGTTTTGAAACGTGTATTACTACTTGGTCACTTTGAGCCCCTGCCTTCCTAATATGAGAAAAGACATCTGTAAATAATGCTTTACATAAAAAGTTCATACACTGCTGATGAGAAGCATTAAAAGATCAAGAATGTAAAGATCCTTGCACTGATTTTTATTCCTACTAAGAAGTGGGTGTTAAAAATGATGACTCAAACCAAGGCAGACAATTATTTGTTCTTATTTGTACATCGATTGCTCCAGTCCTAAATTTAGCACTGTCACTCTCCTTCTATCAACTAAATGTTTCATCTTTCTTCTAAAATATGATCACCCACTCTAAGACTTGGGAACTGTTTCATGAACAGACAACGGTTAGTTGGAAGCTGGATTATGTTAACCACACCCAGGAGCAGAGGACTAAATATGAAATCCCCAAAGAATGTTCCCATATATCTGTGGAAATGCGTGAAGCCCAAAGGAAGCACACCAGATGCCAGGAAGCCAGGGACCTTGGAAGATGTCACCCACCAGAGATGGCCCAGACTTATGGTGACTGGGAAACCTCACATCAGGAGTGCTTGATGACTCAGGCATGTTGTTTGCATGCTCAAATGCTGTGTTTCTTTTACTGCTAGGAGCCTGACCAGGAAGCATGAGGGAATTAAGAGGTCTAGAAAAGTGCCTTGATGACATCTGCAAAGATCTGCCCCCAGGAATGCCATGTCTCCTGAAAGCTTGGGAGCTATGAACTAGTTCTGAATAGAGAGGACAGACCAGTAAATTTAGTGATGAGGACAAATAGCAACTGGAAAACAGTGAAGTCAAGGTAGACAAGTTCAAATCACAAGGTGCTGGGTAGAGGCTGAATGAAGGAGGTGAAAACTGTTTCATGCTTTTCCCCCTCTTCTGGTACATTTGTGCATGAGGGAGCTGTCTAGGGGAAAGAAGAAATTCTGGAATGGTTTGCACAACATAATGATCTTTTCCAATGGGATCTGTAGGTGTCCCTCTCCTAAACTCATGCTTGGGGCTGGGAACACTGAAAGCCAAGTGGTCATGCATCAAGGGGAGGTCGCTTAGCGATGCAGCATTTCTTAGAAAAGTAGAAGCACTTGTAAAGATGCATGAGTTCATGCTCTTCCTGCCCCAAGGTCTACATGAATCTCTAAGGCCCTCCTGAATTGCAGTAATGGACAACTCGGGGCTTGTCACTTTGGAGACGTTGGGAGAAGACACACAAATGACCTTAGATCCTAACTCTCGAGTTGGGCTACATCCTTGGGAGTGAGAGTGCCTTGGAGATCTCACTATGGTCCTCAAGACTTCCTGAGGCTTCATTTGTTCTTCCAAACCAAGTCTAATAGGACAAGCTCGTCCATCTTTCTCCCATGGGTGATGCTCAAGCAGGAGTCTTGGTCTGGAATCATTAATTCCTGCAGGTGCTACTGACATTAGCTTTGTAGAGGCTAGTTTTTCAGTGGTCTGAACACCTGCCATGGTCAGGAGCTGTGGGTCTGGCTTAGCTGAGGATTTCAACTTGGCATGGCTAGGAAATGGTTTAGCAGTAGAGGAAGGTGGTGCATGCCTGCCAGCCAAGAAGCATGTCAGCTGCTGTTTAGCAGCATAGTGATTTTGCTTAGCTGGAAGAACAGGTGGATTATTAAGGGGTCGATGCTGTACCTGGGAGTAGGATCACAAAATTGAATTACTGATCTAAGAGAAAGAGGCAGATGTTAGAGACATAGGTAAATATGGATCATGTTTACAGATGTAAGGGAAAGTGATAAAAAATTCTTCATCACAAATCAAAACAATTTTTCCACACACTTAGTTTAACTTTTAAAAGAAAAAAGTTATTTTCACAAAAAAATACATGATCACTCTAAAGGATTTAAACAATATGTAAAAGTACAAAAAAGTTTTTAAAAATCCTTTTTTTTTTTTTTTTTTTTTTTTTACTTTCTGCTCCCATAAACCACTATCATTAACATTAGGACAACATTATGTCAAGTATTTTCTGTACATATGTCAGATAGGTTAGACAAATACAAAGAATTATTTTCATAAAAATAGGATCTTATGTAAGAAATCTGGTTCTAGTAATATTGCATTCTAGATAACTTGAAAAAAGCGTGAGCTATCAATATCTAAAGATTCTAGATAAAAATACAAAATAACTCCAAAACATCCTTTTAAATGACCAGCTATGATCACCATAAAATAAAGGAAATCACTAGATGCCAGAAATAATGATTGAACTGAAAACCAGCGTGTTATGCACATGACCTCACACAGTGACTCCCTGGAAAGGTTGCTGATTTGGTTGGGGTTATTTTGTTTGTTTGCTTTACCTGTCTGGCTATCACCCTTTTTTCCCTCCCATCCAAGCAGTTTTTATTAAAATAGCTCAACATAGTGCTAAGTTCCTGAAAATCCTTTCTTAGTCTAGTAGTTAAGCAAATGAAGGAAGTATGTGTAGAAGAAACACTAATGACCTCTGATCTTAAAAGTGAATACCACCACCACAAGTCTGAGGTCAACTGTGCATCTGCTGGTAGTATCACAGTGAACAAAGTTATGTTAGTGACAATGTTAATGATCAGCAACAGGGTCCAGGCATGGACAGGAACTGATTCTTCCTAGAATTCTATAAATCCTTAATCACATTATTCAACAAAAAGGTCACTAAAAATCCTCCATGCCACAAATTCAATTGGATGAGTAACAGAAAAAAGGTTTTTTCTATCTTCTGTTATTTCCTATAAAAGTCCATTGCAACCACAAAGATATACAAAAAAAAAAAAAAAACAAAAACAAAACCTCACAAATGAAGGAAGGTATCTTGCCATTTCTCTACAGAAATAATGTTATAGTTCTTGCAAAAGCAAAGCATGTGTCTTATGATGAATTGTTTTCCAACTTTGCAGCACTGGGTTAACTCTCCACTTCTATCACACAAACTCATTAGAGTCAAAAGCCTGGCCAACAGGGTGAGGCTACCCTTGCTTACTTACCTCCTTGGCCCATGCTGGCTTCTCACTAGGACTCATTCCTTCTTTGTAATGGTACAGTGGCTTCTTCTCCACAGGCCTCTGCTCCTGCCGCTGATGCTGAAGGGAAACTAAGTAGTCTCTTTCTTGCTTTAGCTGCCTCTGCAGTCTTTCTGCTTGTCTCTGTTCTTCCAATTGTTTGCGCTTATATTCCTGTCCAGATCAGGAAAGAGGAGCAAAGAAAAGGCCAAATTATCACATAGAAATCATCGGCCAGTACCAGATAAGCATGCAATGGAGGCAAAATAATGCTAAATAACAAAGGATCTTAATACCAACAGAATGACAGAAGGATGTCAGGATGTGCCACAGAAATAAGCTACTGCCTTGTGTTAGTATCTACACAAGAATGTGTCATTTAATGAAAACGCTATTGCTTTAAAATGGCAATCCCTACCGAACCCCATCAATTACAAAATGACTTGTCCCTGATGAATTACAAGTGACAAAATGGCAATAATGAGGACATTTAAATGGTCGGCATACAACTCCTAGAAAAAGTCACCCACTTCCTGATCTAGTAATTAAACCACTCAAACATGTACAATTAAGTACAAACTAAGCAGCCAAAGATAGTGCCTAAATCATCTTTCATTTAATAAAACTTGGACCTACAAAGGCCATTAGCAAGCTTATGTACAGGCTAAAAAACATCAGAATGCCATTAAATAAAAAGTTCAGTTTTAAAAAATACACCAAAAAGCCCATCTGGAGAGCAGTGCTATAATAATAAAAAAGTACTGTACTTCAAGTGGAAGCTGCATGAGCAAGGGACACAAAATGTTCCCATCGTAAGGGTAAAGCTAATAGTCTGTAAATGAAATATGACTGTAGAGCTGATGGGTTCTTATGGGAGAGGTGCATTTTGCTGTGATTGTATTCCAGCATGTCGCAAATGGCCTTAAAAATTACTCTGCAATAAACACAGTAGGTCTCAAAAGCAGTTTGTACTTATAATAAGGCTGGATTTATATTCAAGTTGTACAAATAAATGGAGTTAATAAAGAATGCATAACAACTGTATTAAATATATTAGGACTCAGCAAAATCAATCAGAAAATGTATTAAGTTTCTATGAGGTTTTTGAGGTCCCTGAGGCTTAGAAGATCCCCTCTTCTGGACTGGTATGTTAGAAGGACACACGCACGCGCGCACACACACACACACACACACACACACACACACACAAACACTTGCAAGATGAACACAGAGCAGGTCAGCTGGTTCTTGGCTTTCTCATTACCAGAAGTAGAGCTTGTTCATGCAGTAGCTGCTGCTGCAAGATCTCTAACTGTCTCTGCTCCTCCTCTAACTGTCGCCTGATGTATTCCTGGAGAGGTAGGCAGCAGAGAATTCAGAGGAACAGAAAGAAAGAGAGAAATGAACCAGTAATTTCAAAGGCGACAAGAGCCGCTAAGTAAAGTGTAGAAGGAAGGAGGGGAAAAATACCCAAATACCTTCTTACAAAGCAGGAAGAGTATGTCACATGGAAGCAAATGCATTTCAACATAATGAAAAGCACAAGCCCCTCTACCTGCAACAGCTGACTGCGATGTCTCGGCATTTTACTGCTACTACTTGGTTTTAATAAGCCCAGCTACATGTTAAAGCTTTTCATTACAGGTTCCTCTCTTTATGGACTACCTGGAATTAACAATGCTATAAAGTTCAGAGGCTCCTGTGCAAGCAGCAGGAATAAGACAACTGTTGAATGCCATCGTGCACTGTCTTTGTAATGGAACCATCCTGCAGAGTTTCACTATGCTGTAAGAATGTGATTCTAGCAAAGAGAGATGGGCCTGCATCAATGACTCAAAGTCATAAAGACCAGAGATGGCATGAGTAGAAAAGCTCTTCTGAAGCAGTGAAAGAGTGGGACTTGGCTGATTTTTCATGCTTCAGTGCTACCTTCAAATCAGATACCGAGGGTTGGGAGAATCGGAAGATCCGGGTATGTCAGGGAACTCTGTCTGGGTAGAAAGCAAGGCTGAATAGGTGGGCATTGCCAAGGTTGTACATTTGACTTCTTGAATAGGTGAGCATAATTGCTTGAGGAAGAGTAAAAACCCATGTAAACTGAGCATTCCTCAGAAAAGGTGACCCACACCCCAGAGAAGGCTGGTGCTGGGGTCCCCGGGGGGCCATCAGTGGGGCTCCTGGTCCCAGCTGTACCTGTTCATGCTCCGCACGCCTCCTCTCCTCCTCCCGGCGCATCTGCTCCTCATAGTGCCGGCGCTGCTCCCTCTCCTGCTGCTTCCGCAGCTCCTTCTCTCGCCTTTGTTGCTGTGGGGCAACAAGCAGACAACCATGAAGGCAACAGGCCCCGGTGGGGGGTGTCAGGGAGCCAGCAGGAAAAGCTGTTGAACCCCAGACATGAACTTTTAATGAGATATGCCTAAATGCTCCAAGGTTCTTCTCTCCGGGGCTGTTGGAGGGTACACTGGCAGGGAGCGGGTGAGAGAGAGAGATTCAGTGTCACGCATAACATACTTCCATTTACCATGTAAGTAGACTCTCACCAAGACGTTCCTGTTAAGTGTGTTCTCCCCACAGCTGGTGAGGGTTTTCAAGTCAGGCGTAGAAAACACCAATGCAAAACAGGTTATTTATTACATATCATCAAGTTGTTTATGAAATTACTTCACAATGCTTAAGTCATTCAATCTGTTTAACACCATGTAACACAAAAATTTCATAGATATGTAAAAATCAGAGCGGTGAAGTGACATATTCAAAGCCATACAGAATTGATGGCAGAGGGTGCTTTAGGATTTACTGACTCCCACCTAGTCTGCTACCTTTTCTCATATATCATGCTGCCTGTCTGTGTTTTCTGGAGTATTCATTATTAAGTGTCAATTTCAAGTTCTTGCTCGAATAAGACCCTTATGCTTGGGAGCCATCATCATCATCATCGTCATCGTCAATCATCGTCATCACCTCATACAATTACCATGCCTCCAACAGTGGACAGTGTGATAAACAGCTTACATGCTTTATTTCATTTCATCTTCACAAAAATAAGTGGATGTCACTATTATCTCCATTTTATCTGAGAAAACTGAGGTACGGAGAGATTAAGTAATTGTTCAAGGTCACACCCAGTAAATGGCAGAGCTTGATTTCATAGCCAGACGATGTGACTCCAGCATCTGAGCTCAATCATTAAGGAAGTCCAAGAAGCCAGAGGAATGATAGAAAGATCACAAAGTATCTGGCTCTTCATTATACTCTCAGGAAAGGAGAACATTTTAGAAGTTAGAACTAGGCCAAGCAGTTACAGGAGCCAGTGGTTCTCAAGTAGGAGCAGTGCCATTACCCCTCTCTGGAGCATTTGCAACTATCTAAGGACATGTGAGGAGTATTTTTGCTGGTTCTGATGACTGAGGAGCATGACTGGCATTTACCATGAGAGGCTAGTGATGCCAAACATCCTGTGCAAGGCACAGGATTGTCACATATTACCAAGTCTTTTCCCATACATCATGGCATTAGTGCACCTTTTGAGAGAGGCGGCTGGCCCTTTGTGTCAGATCCTTTATTGGCTTTGGGATTTCTTTTTCCTCATATATGAAGTTCAGAGGGGACATACCAGGGGGACCATTTCCTTGTCACATTCTCAACAAGACTTCATTGCATAGCTTAGGAAACATGAGGTACCCAGAGTGGAATAAATTGTGACTGTCTCACACTGATAAGTTAGCTCTACACAACCAGGGAGATAGTTTTTTACACAAGTTCTGTGTCTCAGCCCCAGCTAAACCAACCACAGATATTCAGAATGCCAGAGAAGCCCATGTGGAAACCTTCCCGATGGAGCTCCTGCAGCAATCCTCCGGACCTGCTGTCTTCCAATAACCTCTGAGTCTTGGGAGATAAGCTGCGTCTCTTAAGACTCAGTTTCTGTCACTTCCAGATCAACAATGATTTTTCCATCTTGGATTGCAGGCGAAGGAGAGCTATTGGAGGACTTCATGCAGCCAAATGACTTGATCAGACTTGCATTTTCAAAAGGCCTCCCCATCATCCATGAAAAGGGGCAAGACTAGAAGCTGAAAAGCAGTGCAAGGCCATTCTGTGGATCTAGGTATAAAATGATAGGGCATCGATGATTTCAGCAAAGGCGGGATGAGAGTCCATGTTTATAATCACTGCTGAGGATGGAGACACAGCCAAGAGGAATAAAGACTAACAACTATACAGGTTGCTGGTCATTCTAATAGGACTTCAGTGGACACCAATTTAGAAACAGAAATTAGAATTAGGCCAAAATAAAATAGGCAGGATTTGGTGACGACAGGTTGTAGGAGGGCAGGTGAAGTCCCCGGCCAAGGGGCACAGTGGACGATGGGATAGAGAAGAGCAGGAAAAGTAGGAGTGGGGTGGGTACCAGCATGAGGCAAGTCCCAGACATGCAAGTATTTGTTTTACAGAAAAATAATACAGGAAGATGCGAGTAGAAAACATCAGCATAGGCACTGACTGAATAATTTGGATTACAGACCCAAAACAGAGACATTTCCAATACTCAACCAAAGTGAATCAGTGCCAGCACAGAGAATAAAATAATTATGTGTACAGATCTGGATCCTGGCAGGAAATAGCACTAATTTAGCTAATATTTCAAATTTCTTACTCCAACCATCCGTCTCTTTCTTAAGGAAAGGAAAATAATCAAGCCCTTTGAAGAGTTAGCTGATCTTTATGTGAAGGATTTGTACATTTTGAACCCCTTTGCCAGGAATCAATACTGTTTTATAATTACATGCCACTCAGGTCCCTGTGCAAGGTGTATACAGTATTGATTGCAACTCAAGAGCGTCTGGGCTTCCCAAGTACTCTGTAGTTTCTGAGAAAGACACTCAAAAGTAACTAATAATTAATAATGATCTCACTCGGATCAGCAGCCGCTAACACATGGAGGCATCTGCCAGGGCTTTGGTTCCTGTGGTGAGGTTGGAAAAATAAATCGCTTTCCCAACCTTCTGAGGGCACCCTGCCAATTTCCAGCTGCTGTGTCTCAATGTTAATGCCATTCTTGAAAAAATATTTGCTTTCTCTCCTCCTGTGCATGGAGCCGTATGAGGGAGGGGATATAAAAAAAACATATCAATGCAAGACCAAGTCCCTGGCCTCAGGCAGACACCTTTACAAAGCTCTGATGACTCTTGCTAGAAGCAGCTCTCTGAGGGCAAGGCCAGTGCTTGATTTCTGCTGTACCCCAACCCCTCAGACGGGGGCCTGGCACCTGGCAGGTGCACCTAAGAGTTTGTTGCGCTGAACATAGTAAGAAACTTGAGGGAAAAGACAACACAGTATCCTCTTAAATTTCTTTGTAGAATTTTTCCTCCTGTCAATACTGACGGTATGGCTACCTTTCCATACCTTATAGTATGGCTATTTGAGTATATCTTACCAACTTTGCAATCTAGATTGAAAGCCGTGTGTGGGCAAGATCTCTGTTCCACTTGTTTTTATCTCCCATTGTTTCCATATCAGGCCAGCCACCAGTGATATTTGTTGTGTTGAATACTGCAAACTGGCTAAGTAATAGAAGAGGGGAGAGCCCTGCAGAGCTTTGTACCAGACCTTTACTCTTTGATGCCCTTCTTAAGTAGCTCTTATTGGCTGGAACATTCTTTTATATTGAACACAGACAGAACTGGAGAATGTTCTTCTAAAAAGAGCCACCTACAGTTGGCACTGGAATGTACCTGTTTGCCATCTTAGAGAAAGGCATGAAAAATAAGGGAATAAGAGTCTAAACTGGAAAAAAAGGGAAAGGGGAGAATCAAATAGCATTCCTAGATCTTATTCAAATTATACATAATGAAGATAGTGGTCCTGCTATCAGAAAAGAATGGCTGAAACCAACTACTCTAAAACTGTTGGCAGATTCTCCACCTATATTGAACTGCCTAGAAGTATATTTTCATCCATGTCTTCTTGTAGGCATTGCTAAAAGTTATATTCCTTAAAATTGGACATTCAGTTGCTTCTTATAAGTTTCTTAATTTTTTTTCCGGTGGGGAGATGATGGATAGAACCTACTGTTAAAGTTTTCCAGGCCCTAACAATTGTTGCCTTACTCTATGGAGTAGATAATCAGGGACTTCATGTCCCTTTTGTCTTCTGTTGATGTTCGCCAAGGATGATTTCTTTTTAGGACAATTCCTTTTTATTTTTATTTTAAGATATTTTAAATTTCTTATTTTAGACATTAGAGAAAGGCATGAAATATTTAAAAGTTCTTATTTTAAATATTTATGATTGACATGTAATAATTGGACATATTTATGGGGTACAATGTGATGTTTACATACATGTATAAATTATGTAATGATCAAGTCAGTGTAATTAGCATATCTACCATCTTAAACACTTACCATTGCTTTGTGACGAGAGTATTCAAAAACCTTTTATAGCTATTTTGAAATATGTAATACATTGTGAATTTCAGCCATCCTCTTATGCAATAGAACACCAGCACTTATTCCTCTCGTCTATAGCTTTGCACCCATTGACCAGTCTCTCACCACTGCCCCCTGCCAATCCTCTGGTAACCACTGTTCTACTCTTTCTTTCTATGAGAGTGACATCTTAGATTCCACCAGTGAGTGAGATCATATGGTATTTGTCTTTCTGTGCCTGGAATCTTTCACTTGATATAATGTCTTCCAGGTTCATCTACGTTGCTGCAAACAACAGAATCTCACTTTTTTATGGATGAATAGTACTTCATTGTATGTAAGTACCACATTTTCTTTATTCACGCATCCACTGATGGACACTTGGGTTCATTCCATATCTGGTCTATTGTGAATAGTGCTGCAATAAACAAAGGAGCACAGCTATCTCTCTCTTTTTTTTTTTTTTTTGAGATGGAGTCTTGCTCTGTCGCCCAGGCTGGAGTACAGTGGTGCAATCTCAGCTCGCTTCAAGCTCCACCTCCCGGGTTCACGCCATTCTCCTGCCTCAGCCTCCCGAGTAGCTGGGACTACAGGCGCCCGCCACCACGCCTGGCTAATTTTTTGGATTTTTAGTAGAGACGGGGTATCACCGTGTTAGCCAGGATGGTCTCGATCTCCTGACCTCATGATCCGCCCGCCTCGGCCTCCCAAAGTGCTGGGATTACAGGTGTGAGCCACCGCACCCGGCCACAGCTATCTCTTGAACACACAGACTTCCCTTCCTCTGGCTATACACCCAGTGGTGGGATTGCTGGATCTGGGGATCTATTGGGGGCAGTTTTGATCCTCCCTATGAATGCTCCCCTCACGCTACCTCTAGGTGGAGGCTGTGTGGCTGCACTTTCAAGCATGTGAATTTGTTAGTTAATTTTAATGAGGGAATAGTAATTTTGTCCCACCTGTTCAGGGGGCCCTCAAAGGTAATGCATTTATCCCAAATTGGCTATGTAGAATTTTTGCTGTTTAAATTCTTTGCAGAGAATATCACCTCAACCCTTAAATTCTGAATTGTCATTAGAGGTCTAGTTTTAAGAGATAATCCTCATGCATATTCCTCACAAGGGCTGTGGAGTCAGTCTTTCCTTTTTTTTTTTTTTTTTGTTTAAATGCTCTTCTTAGATTACTTTAGATAAGCAGAAAAGTACGCACCTACACCAGGGTGTTCTAGCTCTCATAGAAGTGACTTTGATGAACTGCAATGCCATAAAATTGCATTTTATGATGTCTTCAAAATAGCTGAATAAAGCTAACCACTGCATTTATGCCAGGAATATTGCCTCAGACATTATTCATTGCACTACTTACTAGGCAAGTGTATAGTTTTCAGTGTGATCTCAGAAAGCTTGTCTGAGTAACTGGTTTACTCTTATCTGATGGACAACATGAATCTCAACCACTTCACATCTGTCTCTTTTCTCATGTGTCAGGCCTCAGAGCAGATTGGTGACCGCCCTGGGCAACAGCGCTGGATGCCATGTTGTGCAGGCATTCTGTGCACTGACCCCGCTCCTGCCTGCATCTTCTTTCTCCGTTCTACTTTATGTTCCCTTCTACATTGTCTTCTTGTTTATTTTACTTTTAATTGCTGTATTAATCTCTTTAAGCCACCTTAACTCCTCCTTTTGGAATGAGGAAAAGTCATAATAAGCCAAAAAATGAGAAACAAATCTTGGCCCTGGTCCATCTTTTATATACATCATATTTCCCATTATATGGACCCAAGTGATATCCACATCTGAGAATTAATATCCTATAGCTGCAATGCAACGTGTCATTGGGATAGAGGGGTAGGCAAGAGAGGCAACAGGGCTTGGGGAAAGAATAAAATGGTTTGGAAACAGACTAGATTCTGGTCCTGCACTGCCACCAATACGAACACTGAAGACCACGTAGCAGCGCTCTGTAAATATGTGTTTGATGGCCGGGCTCACACCTGTAATCCCAGCACTCTGGGAGGCCAAGGCGAGCGGATCACCTGAGGTCAGGAGTTTGACACCAGCCTGGCCAACATGGTGAAAACCCGTCTCTACTAAAAATACAAAAATTAGCTGGGTGTGATGGTGCGTGCCTCTAATCCCAGCTACTCAGGAGGCTGAGGCAGGAGAATTGCTTGAACCCAGGAGGCGGAGGTTGCAGTGAGCTGAGATCGTGCCACTGTACGAGATTGTGCCTGGGTGACAGAGTGAGACTTCATCTCAAAAAAAAAAAAAAAAAAAAGTGACGAATGAGTGAATGTTGTTTGACCTTGAGTAAGTCACCTTCAGCTAAACTTTCAATGAGGGTATAGATTAAGTAATCTTGCAAATCTGTTCATTCTAAGAGTCTGAGCAAGGTTATGCTACATTGCAAAGCAAAAATCTAACCATTCAGAGTGAAACGAAGCAGAATTCTTATTTGCCCTTGGAGAGCTCCTGTTGCTTTTCATCTTGGGTGACCTCCTGAAAGCGGTGAGAGGAAACCCTACTGTGACTGTGGAAGACCCGAGTTGGCCTCCAGAGGACAGGAAAACGGCTGGTGCAAGATCAAGTCAGGCTCCTTGGGAAGTACCTCAAACCATCCCCTCCACCCAGGGGCTCTCTGTTCAAAGACACTCAGAATGAAAGGACCCAGTGTGGTCTTTTGAATTGACTGCACATCACACATGCCCCCTCACTTTAAATAGGACCATTCTGTATAAGCTTCACGGGAGCTATACTTGTGATGAGAGGTATTCCAGCTTCTGGGCATTCCATTTTCCCATTTAACGTTGCTAAAGTTTTAGTTTTGGAAAGATCATTGCAAACCAATGACTATAGGGTAAGGGCATGATTCCTTGTGACTAAAACTGGAGTTCCAAACCTTTTTTTATGTAAGGACACAAGAGTGATGAGGAAGCAGTCTGGCACCTCTGAATTCACTATATGACAATGAAATAAAAACAAAAATAATAATAACTATATGCATAATGAAGAACACTTACGTAGTGCAGCCTATGATGCCAAGCACTGTACTCATATTAACTCATTTAATTCTCACCAGAACCCTTTGAGGCAGGTAATACTGTCATCACCCCCATTTGACAGTTAAGGAAACTGAGGCACATCCAGGCCAATATCTTGCCCAAGTTCACTCGGTTGGTAAGTGCGAGGCCAGGATTTATATTCCATGCCTGACTCTTGCCATGCTGCCTCATTTGGGTCCACAAGAAGCATCTGTGTGTACAAAGTAAAAGATACTGTCTAATGCTTTTTAAAGTTGCCATTTTCCCCTCTTTCTATCTTTACTTGTTACCTACCTTAACTTGTTACCTACCTTAAAGCTACCATAGCTTTCCCAATGTTCTCAGAAATAGTAATCAGAGAACATTGGGAAAGCTAGACAGGCCAGATATAACTCATTCCTTTCTTTCTACACCTACTTTACACCATGAGAGATAAACTATCCAACCTACCCTTTGAGAGCTTTCCTGAAAAATTAACTGCCTAAGTGAAGCCTTTTCTTTGTGCTCACAGGCCAACTTTTGATTAGCAGACAGCCCCATGGCTAAGCACTGTCAAGCACATGTGTGCAAGCTGGTCTTTGCGGACACTGAAAGAGGCATGACAGTTCTAAACAGACTGAGCTTCACGAAGCGGTGCAGAAGAATTCTCATCCTGCCTCTTCCATGGATGCTAGTCAATGTGATTATTCACAAACTCCTTAGTGTCTCTGAGCCTCAGTTTCTCCTGGGAGAACAGTCACACGGGATTTCCCAGGTGTCATACAGAGGAGCAAGAATGGCCTAATGGACATCCCTAGTACCTACGACTCTGAATGTTAGTGTGAAAGTCAAATGCAGATGAAACCCCCAAATTCCTACTGTCATCATTCTGAAGCCTTAGTATGAGACCCTCAGACTGAGTCCTATGAAGACAAGCCAGTTATAAACCAGTTTATTAATACAGTATTTACAGAGAGGGCCACTCCAGTACTCCCGAGATGATACTAAAGATGCTAACTTATACGTAGAAAGGTTGCAGGAACTGGTAACATTTGTGGGAAAACATTATTAATGTCTTCACACATTTCTAGGGCAGATATGCAGGGAATTTCAGTTTTATTTGGCACAACCTGTATTAATGCAGGGATATCACAAGAACTCGAATCAACGAAAAGATAACTTTTCCAACATTAGGAGTTGTTCAAAAATAGAATGTGCTGCCTCAAGCCCACGGACATACAAGGAAAGATTATATGTTAAACAGGTTAGATAACCCTGTTTGAAGAATATTGCAAAAGGAATTCTTGCTTTGAGAGAAGAATTGGCTGAGATCACTTTTGAGGTTCCTAATATTCCCCAGCCTCTATGATTCTATAAAACCACTTACTAAAGAAAACAAGAATCAAAATAAAAGCAATTCAATTTAAATGTCATGTGAAATAAGATTTCATGTGAAACTATTTTGTTGTCATAGTTCTATGGTTAGGAATAACTAAGAAGACTGTGAACACACAAAACATACAGACTAGATGTAATAAAGGTGGTTCTGTGAAGACCTTAGACAACGGAGGGTAGGTCTGTGTGATGTCCATTGCATGCAGGCACTAAAAAGCCATCCCTACCTTCCATGCAAGGTACTCTAGATACACCAAGGATCAGCAACTGCCTAACTCCAGGTTTTTTTTCAGTATGAAATGCTGTTAAGTATAAAACACTAGCGTACTCTACCTTCCTATGTCTTAAAAGCGTAGGCAGGAGCCTGGGCAAAAGGACTCCAGATTTCAGTAGCATTTTACACTACAAAATAGGGATGTCAGCCCAACTCCCGCACTGTGGCAGGAAATCCCTCCCATCACAGGATCCAGGTGACAAAGCGGACAAAGTCAGAACTCCTTTGGCACAACACGTAAGTTAGAACAAGAAGCCCTTTTGCGATCCACTGGGAGGTGGGGTTCCTTATATCCATGCAGATGACACGGCTCCCTGAAACACAAGTGTGATTTACATGTGCATGCGATTACTGACCATTATCCAAAGCTCATGGGCACGCTTTGTCCTGGACAATGAGCATCTGGTTTGCCAGGATGGTTCCCAGCTGTTTCATAATTTCTGTTCAGTTATTGAAATAACAGAGCAAAAGCCCAGCTAGAAAGTGTTCAATCTTGTGTTGATGCTAATGACATCCAGGAATAAAAAGCTGTGCTGCCTCCAACTAGCCAGCCACTGCTCACAGGACACACTGGGACACCTGTGGTTAATGATTAAGTGAATTAAGGACCACTTCTCAGCAGTGCTGATGTGTTAACACTCCAGGCTCTGAGATGGGGGAATTAATTTTTCTTGCTCACAGTGCTTTCCTCTGGCTTGGGGCCTGGGAGTGTGGTCCAGTGGGTAGAAATGCTGCACTGGTAAAAAACCCACACGATTTTCCTGTCTCCTTCTTGTGCCCACTGTACTTGCCTAGGCTTCATTCAGCTTCAAGGCCTCACCCTGGAAAGAGATGACCCAGGGCAGCAATAACAAAGCAGGTAATGAGAAGCAAGATTCTTCCCTTCACATGTAACACTCTCCTTGAACTTATTCAGGTGTTTACTCAGTGCCAGGTACTGTTCTAAGTGGTTTGTATGTATTACATCCCATTTTATAAATGGTCAAACTGAGACATAGAGAAGTCATGTCTTGCTCAAAATTACAAAGGAAGTAAGTGGCAGATCTGAGATTCAAACCCAGGCAGTGTCTTACTGAACTGCCACGTTCTCACCCTTTTGGTGAAAGGGTCACTCGGAAGGTACTATTTCCCTGATGCAAGAAGCTTGTTATTCACTCAGCACAAGATCTCTGTTCCTTATGAACTTTATTTAGATATTGTTAGGAAATGAAATTTCATGCAGCCACTTGGTGGCAATGATGGGATCATAATTTACAGTGTTGGAAATGACAGCAAGAAATACTGATAAGATAATCCATCAGAAGGCAGTTTCTCCAGGGGAAGGTTCTCTAGGTTTCACTGGGAAAAGGAGACTTCCCAAGGTGGCAGTTGACCCTACTAAACAAGAAATCCGCAAAAGGACAAAGAATGGGCCGCCTCCTTGTCCTGACAAGGCCAGGACTGCAGGCTAACTCACCAGCAGATAAACAGCCCAGTAAGACATAACGAAAATGTGCTCTGGAAAAATGCTTTCAAAAGGGGATGAAAAAGTCAAGGTTTTACACTAAACAGGGAAGGTACATTAAGGAATTAAGGAAGACAGGGAATGGGGAAATGCTAGCTATAGACAGCACCATTAAAATGAAAAACAAAATTAACAGTACTATACTTTGAAATCATCAGTTCCAAAATAACAATAAAATATTCACCCAAGAATACCAATCCAGGTTTTGTGTTAGGCATTGTGCCAAGTCCTCTGTATTTATGGTTTCATTTACTTCTCAGCAATCATGAAAAGTAAATATTATTTTACCAAATGTGCATGTAAGGAAGCTGAGGTTCAGAGAGGTTAAGTAATTTGCCAAAGACCACACAGCTAAGATTAAACCTTGGCCTTGGCCTGTAAAGATAGTGTATTTTACCTCTACACGAACCTAAAGCTGGCCATCTAAGAACTATTAGACATTTATTGCTCTTAATGATATAACTGAATTCCTCCCAGTATTATAACAAATATTCTTCCCGAAGCATAGAAAGAAGCTTACCTATTTACATTTATTTTAATAAATCCAAAAAGGTTTTACTGTAGCACATAAAGGAGTTCAAACTTTGGAAATTTGTTTCCTTGACTTTGGTCAAAGGCACCTACACCAATAACAAGAACAACTCATATTTATTGAGGGCTCACTATGTGTTAGTGATGTCGGCAGGCTTTGTATGAATTAACTCATTTAATTTTCACAACAGCCCTGTGAGGTAAATGCTATTGTTATTTCTTGCTTTACAGATGAGGAAACTGTAAAACAGGAAAGTTAAAGAACTTACTCAGGTCACACACCTAATAAGGAAGAAAGCTGGGATTTGACCCCTGGCAGTCTTAGGCTCTAGAGTCTATGCTGTTAACCAAAATACAATTTCACTCTCTACTGAATTTTACCAAATGCTCTGCTGTCCCAGGACTTTCCAGAGCATCAATATGCTGTCCTGCACTGTGATTCTTAGAGAAACTTGCAGCTTCCCCACCACCTCACCACTCTTTTGTGGGTGGAGGCTGTCTAGGAGCATTTGGAAGAAGCTACTAAGGTTCCAAAGAACAACCTTCCACACCAGCGGCTTCTCTGGGTTTGGGCTTCAGCTTGCACAGCTGAGCTGCTTTGAGACTGGGCTTGGTTACCCTAAGAGAAGAGTGAATGGTGACCGGGCATGGTGGTTCACACCTGTAATCCCAGCACTCTGGGAGACCGAGGCAGGCAGATCACTTGAGGCCAGGAGTTTGAGACCAGCCTGGCTAATATGACAAAACCCTATCTCTACTAAAAACACAAAGACTAGCTGGGCGTGGTGGAGCATGCCTGTAATCCCAGCTACTCGGATGGCTGAGGCATAAGGATTGCTTGAATCTGGGAGGCAGAGGTTGCAGTGAGCTGAGATGATCGTGCCTCCAACCTGGGTGACAGAGTAGACTCCATCTCAAAAAATAAATTAATTAAAAAAAAAGAAAAAAGGAAGAATGCATGGTAACAGAGAATGTGAACAAAAAGCTGATAGCAAATGGATGAGCATGGAATTAGGAAGAATTCCAACACAAGCATAAGGTGGGTCTCATTAGAAATATTTAAGCTGAATTTGACCAGTCCTCAAAAGTAAGGTCTGTCCAGCTTTTGGCAGTCAATAAAGTTCTTTTATATCCATTTTTCTGGTTAATCCTCAGGAAAACTTTGGTGGTGGGAACAAGCTTTGCTACTGATCTCCCTGCAGAGCTCAGGAAGTGGAGGTGTGGAGAGAATAAGAACTGCCAGGGCATGCAGGTAGTAGTAGTACATGGTGACCCTCAGAAGTTGACGTCTTTTCACTCCAAGTGCAGATCTACTGACTCCCTGGGCAGGTTGCTTCCCTTCCCAGAAAAGACAGGAAATGAAAGAATTTCTAGGGAGTACTACACAAAAACTATGTGTTTTGTTTTTTGTTTTTTGTTTTTTTTTTTTTGAGACGGAGTCTTGCTCTGTTGCCCAGGCTGGAGTGCAGTGGCATGATCTTGGCTCACTGCAAACTCCGCCTCCCGGGTTCATGCCATTCTCCTGCCTCAGCTTCCCGAGTAGCTGGGACTACAGGCGCCTGCCACCACACCCGGCTATTTTTTTGTATTTTTAGTAGAGACGGGGTTTCACCGTGTTATCCAGGATGGTCTTGATCTCCTGATCTCGTGATCCACCTGCCTCGGCCTCCCAAAATGCTGGGATTACAGTGGGCGTGAGCCACTGCGCCCGGCCAAAACTATGTTTTAAATATCCTCTTTGTCATTTGAAACCAAAAGATGCTATTGTCTTCCTGACCTCTGAGCAGCATTCTGCAGAGCTGGCCCCTTTAACTCCATCCTTATGCTTGCATACTAAATCTTTGCTTCTATAGCATCAAACTCTCCAGGTGTTCCTTCCACTTCCTTATCAAATTTCTCTGCTGTCTCTTCCTTGTCTATTCTGAGTTCTTAGAGCTCAGGCCTACACTCTCTTCTCATGTGTACTTTTATTACCACAAACCAATAATTCCTATTTTTCTTATTTTTGACCCCTCTTCTATGGCCATCTCTACCATAATCCAACTGCATGGATTGTACTACTACTATTACTGTTGGCTGCTCTTCCTCATCCCTGATGTCTAATCAACTTGCACATCCTGCATGGTCCACAGGCTACATTTGTCTCAAATGTGTCCACTTTTCTCAATCCCCACTCCACCATCATCTGTCCAAAGCATCACACTCTCTGGCCTAGACTAACTTGTCTCCTCCATTTACTCTTGCTTCTTTCCAGCACCAACTGCAGCAGCCCAAGTTTCATTTGAAAAAGGCAGATCTGATTCTGTTCCCTTAGTGAAGACACATCAATGGTTTCCCACTCTTCTTAGAATAAAATTCAAAAGTAATCAACATGGTCTACAAAGCCCTGCATGACTGTGCCATGGCTTCCCTGCCTGGTATCTCTCCGTGCCCCACTCCCTCCTGTAGCGGGACTCTGACCAAGCCAGGTGAGGCTCCCACCCTGTGGCACGCTCTTTTAGCATGCCACTCTCCTCCACCACGGCAGTCATTGCTGTGATGATAAATGATTACTTGGCTGATTATTTGCTTAGTGCCTGTTTCCCTCACAGATCTAATCGTCACAATGGGAGACTGTATTTCTAGTGTCTAACATGGTGCCCACACAACAGAGGTGTTCACTGAATATTTGTCAAATGATGACCTACAGACCCCAGGAAAAGGTTTTAATTCAACCTTATGCTTAAAAACCTCATGCTTAAAAACAACAACAACAATTGAGTCTAACATCCTTGAAAGCCTCAGTCACAATAAAAAGTTAGAGGCTTAGAGAGGGCTGACATTTTTAGGCTGCCAGGTTCTTACTTTGTACATTAATGCTCCATGATTACTGGCCAATAAGATACAGGTGATATCTCTTCAAAAAAAAAAAAAAAAATTCATGGGATGGAGCCAAAGTGTATATTTTTTGGCCAGATAGAACTGGTTATTTTTATAACTGGACAATGTTAGGATGGTCTTGAAGGGCACTACATGAGAATGTTGGTGTCCTGAAAGAGTCTTGAAAGAATAAAACATACTACCAGGGAGCAGGTGCTTCTGGGGTCTATTTGATTCATTCCTGTGACTTACAGGCACGCTCCCCAAAATGAAAGTATAGAATGTGCTCAGCAATTTGAAACACATATATAAATCACTAATATCATTTCAGAACTCTTGAGCAGAATCAAACATCACCACAAACTTGCTCAAGATTACCAGAGTAGAAGCCTTGACCCCTGAAGGCTCCCATTATTCTTGGATCCTAACTCCATGATACAGAATAAAACAAGATGTATTTTGTTTATGCCAAGTAATAGAAATTTTTATTGAGCTGAGTAAAACTAGAAGAGGTCCTCCTTGTACTTTTTCTCACCATTGATGGACTCATTCACTTTAGCTGGGTTTAATCAAGTTCCTGGAACTTTGTTATAGGTTGTACTTCAACAATGGTCAAAAGCTGAGTCTTCTCTCCACCATTTAATTGGCCTGAAGCCACGTCCTTTTCATAAAGCTGATCAGTGACAACATTCAGTGTATATTCAAAGTCCTTCTAAGAATATACAGACACTGATTTAGAGCTTAGCCAAATCCACATGGTTACTCATAAATAGTAAAGGACATGCAGGGCTTCCTTAGAAACCCTCTGGTGGGAGGTGACATTTGAGATCACAAAATACAAAAGCTACAAGCTACATAGTCCTGTGTGACCAAAGGGGTAGCTAAGTGGGAATGTTTTTCCTACAAAAGGAAAAATGACTCGCAGTGAAATACTCAAGCTGAACTATGGGCTTTAACAGTTTCTATATGACAATGTAGTCCAAGTTCCTACTCAGGACACCAGAAACACAAGTGGTCACCAAAGGCCAGGGAAGCAGACATAGAAGGGGACCTGGCAGGAGCAGGACACAGCAGAAGAGTTCCTGGTGGGAGAGAATGTCATGACTAAGGGGTTCAGAATTTACAGCTCTCTGAGTACTTAGTATTCCTTGTTCTTCTCCACTGCGCTATAGAATAAGATGAAGGATCAAAAGAGAAAGCTGGAATAATCTATCAATGCTCTGTGGCCAGAAGCATTCCTGCTTCTGGTATGGAGCCAAGGCTCATGCCCATTGGTACATACAGCAAAAGGCTTGTGCCCTCATGCATGCTGGCTGACGTCTTCTGTGCAAGCCAGGATTGACAGGGTGTGTCTCTGGCTGCACATGCCTCAGTGAGCTGAACTCTGACTTGCTCCATGGTAGAGGTTCAAGCAAATGCCACAAGAGAAGAGACACAAAGGAGGCCTTGGCAATAGCTCTGACTGGGAGCGTGAGACAGAACCCAGGTCAAAGGCGAGCATCTGTTGGCCACAGATTCTGTGCCCTTGCGCAGAACTCCTTAAATGTTCAGGATAAAAGACTATAGACATAGAGGCCAGATGAGGGATGTGGAAAAGCATACCAACTTTGACTTATCAGTGGAGACACAGAACACATGCAGTGACTTGGTGCTTAGGCTCTGCAGGCCAATCCCCTGGATCTGAAACCCGGTTTTCTTCTCAACCTTTAACAAGTTATTAACCTCTCTAAGACTCAGCTGCATTATCTTTAGACTGGAGATTATTGTGAGGATTAAATGAGACAATTCGTGTAAAGTACTAAACACAGTACCCTGCAACATGGGACCAATTACTTCCCTCCCTGAACCTCAGTTTCTTCTTTGTTAAATGGGGATTATGAGTTTTGCATGAGAGATAATCAATACAGGAAAAGAGATAATGATAGTAGATGAGATAGTGGCTATAAGCAAAGCATCCTGCCTGGTACTTGACATTACTAAAATCACTCAATAATTGTAACCATTGGGTATTATTGTTGCTGGTCTGATACTGATATTTGAAGGACATAATGAGGTTGATGGGATTTGCTGCAAACTGGAACTGAGGCCCTTACTGATTTAAACCAGGGAGGCTGGACCTTGATGTACCATTTAAAAAGCAATCTGCTGCTGGTGACTGCAATTCACCACCCTCTAAATCTTCAGTGGCCACCTGGCAAAGCAAGTGAATTGCTGCAAGCCCGTTAATGAGAAGCAAGCTGGTGTTCGGGAAACCTGTAAAATTACTATCCCATTACCGTGCAGTTAGTGCGCCTTTCATCTGCTGCCCAACTTCCCCAATAGATATGCTCTCTCGGTTTCCTAATTGTCTAGAGGCTTTGATTTATCTGGCAGAGGAAGGAGGCCTGAGATATCTGGGCAAAGTTCTGGGAAGGAGGCTTTAACAAATGTCTGTAAGACCACAAGGTGAGAGTCTGGCCCAGGACAAGGCATGCAGCCAACTGTGGCTAGCAGTATGGCTTCCCACACAGATAAGCAGTATCTGCTGCTAAAGGCAGGTCTTGCCCACAGGCTGGAGGACAGGCCCTGGGTACTAAGGGATGTCTGGGAAAGGATCTGTGAAACATTCTTCCTAGCATTCAGAGCATCAATAGGCAGGTCCTACTCTTCCATACTTGAAATTCCACTTATCTGCTTATTCACTGTGATCTAGTTAATACCTATATTTCACCTCTCAACTACTGACCCATTCATTCATATATTACTCATTCCACAGATATTTATGAGGCACCTACGACATGCTAGAGATACATCAGGGAATAAAAGAGATAAAATCTCCTTGTCCTGATGGAGCTTAAATTCCAGTAGGGACATTCAGGCATGTAAAAGTATATGTAGACTATATTTGAAGGTGCTAAGGGCTGTGTAAAAGTAATAAGGCAGGGCAGGGAAATAGGACATGCTGGAGGGAGGGACTGTGACTTTAAGTAAAGCTGAGAAGGTGCTGAGAAGGTGATATATGGGCAAGACAGGAAGGGGTGACGGCCTTCACCTGCTTTTCTGAAATGACCACACCACCACAAAAAGCAAGGGAAGCCTTTTGTTTGTAAGAGCATTCAGGACTTATCTGCCCTTGCAGTCAACCCCTTTGTGCCTCTAAGCTCTGTGTGCTCACAGGTGGGATGTGGGCCCCCAGGGAATGCTTGGAGAGTGACCACAACTGAGAGGCTTGGGGTCAGAGGTGGCCCGAGCAGGTCCTCACCTCCTCCAGCCGCCGCCTCTGCTCTTTCTGCTCCTCGATGCGCTTCTGACGCTCGGCCAGCAGCTGCCGCTTGTGCTCCTCATTCTCCCGCTGCTGCTGCTCCAGCTGCTGCCTCCGTAGGGCCTCAGAACGCTCCTTGTTGGCCAGCTGCAGCCTCAGAAAGTCCCTCCGCAGCGTCGACTCCCCTGGCAGATTCAGGATGGAGCTGTGGGTAGGAGAGAGTGATCAGGATCCCACGTGGGGCAGGGGCCATGGCTACCAAGAGGCCTTGGAGGAGGAAAGCGGGACAAATGATTCACCCACACACAGGGAAAGAAGAGCACAGGCTCCTAGATCCTCCGCTAATTCAATCATTCACCCCAAAGAAACAGCATCAGGATAAGAGACCTGCCTCCCTTTCAGTACGACTGTGGCCAACAAATGCTGCCTCCATCCATAGAGGGATGTCACATTCTCAGAGTTGTCACCTTCTCCAGGACTGTCCACACCACTCCCTCATCCTTGGGACGTGGCAAAGATTTGTTTTTAAAGACTTTAGCCAGTGTGCAAGCCATGAGCCCCAGACTGGATTATTTTCAATAAAAATGGACAATGGTGGGCAACAAGGGTACTCAGACAAGCACAGATCGGCCTCACCCACACCACCCCCTCACACCAAACCCCATGAGGCAGAGGCCAGGCTGCTCCTGTGAAGCCACGATGAACTAGCGATGGAAAACCCTTGAGTCAAGGTCAACACAGAGCCAGGATCTGAGCCCAAGCCTGCTGAGTCCAAGTCAGGGTTTGCCTGACTGTACCACACTTAAAGGGCTTGGTTTGGCTCTGGCCACAGCAGGTGCAGCTAGGACTTCAACCCAGCTCATTGGTTCCTAGATTCTGTTTAGGTAACAGTTTTGTCTTCTGTAAAATGGTGGTTGTACATGAATGTGTGTGCATACGACAGAGATCGAGAGGACATAAATAAGTTCTACCTACTTCGCTGGTGGTCCTGGGCTGCCCTGCTCGCAGGTGAACAACTAAATGTTACAGACTCCTTGATTCTGCACAGCAGCCTAAGAGGGAGCTAAGAAATGACTTCTGTTTATTCAAACGTAGCCCTTTTAATCTTTCTGGAAGCTTCCATTTGAAATAAATCTATTAAACACATATTTACGGAGCACCTGCTATGTGGCAGTCACTGTAGTAAGCTCTAAGGATACGGCAGTTGCTAGATAAATTCTCCCTTTAAAGTTATCTTCTTATGGGACACACATACAGACAAATAATTTCAGGTATTAATAGGCTCTATAGAAGACTAAAATTGTAATTGTTTCAGTGACAGTGGCTGGGAGCTGAGGTAAGCTTTGAGGCCTTACTTTAGATGGGTGGTCAGAAAGACCTCTCTGGGAAGGAAGCAGTTGATGAAGAAGGAAGAACGTTCCAGGCAGAGGGAAAAGCAGGTTTAGAGGCCTGAGAGGAAAACAGGGGTGCACCCTATTTTTGAGCAACTGAACACCAGCCCGGCTTCCCAGAGCAGAGTGAATGAGAGGGAGAAGGGTATGAGAGGAGGTCAGAGAGATAGGTGCGGGGCCGCGACAGCCATGCAGGCACGGGAAGGTTTTATGCAGAAGAGCAACATGAGCAGATGGGTTTGGCTGCTAAATGGATGACCTAGCGAGGGGTACAGGGGCAAGCACAGCAAGCCGGACTGCTGCTGCAGAGTGGTTCTGGGGTGGGGACACCACCCAGGGCGAGAGCAGAGCGGGTGGAGGAGGGAAGGAGCGTTTGGGGATAGAGGTCACGAAGCCTGTGGACAGATCTGACATGTGGAGT
Organism: Homo sapiens; assembly: GCF_000001405.40. Taxonomy (NCBI): domain Eukaryota; kingdom Metazoa; phylum Chordata; class Mammalia; order Primates; family Hominidae; genus Homo; species Homo sapiens. The sequence continues at coordinate 171,159,272 of NC_000003.12, forward strand.
GAGGGATGACTTGCAGGTTCTGTCTTGGTGGCTGGGTGACGGTGGTAACGAGAACAGGAATGAGGAATGCTGAGGGAGGAGCAAGTTTCGTGGCAGTTAACAAGAGGACCAAGGATCGGTTTTGGAGAGTAGTTAGTGTGCTGTGTGAGATACTGCCATGAAAAGACATAAAAAGGCTTTGTTCGTGATGTTCCATAGACAATGCTTGGCGTCTACTCACAAGCCTTCTCTAAAACTTAGAGCCTTTGTGTCAAACTCTAAAACCCCAAACGATGGTGCTTATCTACACAGGCCACTTGCCCTGTGCAGAGGGGAGGGACTTGGGAACCCAGCCTCCCATGCACACGAGGATGCTCCATTAATATTAATTGATATTGAATCAATGTCAGAAGATCTGAGCTGTGTTAGTGACTCAACCATTAACTCTGTGTGTGACCTGGGTGCAACCCTTAGGCTGTCGCCTCATTTCTAAAATGAGATAACCATTGTCCTTTTCTATTTTTCAGGATTTCATGAAGATTAATTAGATACGTCCATAAAAACAGGACTTGGACTTAAAGTATAATAACAACAACAACAGGACTTGGAACATAATCTTCAGCATGATATAATGACATGTTATAATTACGGAAGTGTTAAGGTACGGCTGGGCTGGCTCGTTGAGTGACTCCTAATATGCAGTTTAGCAAGTGTTAGAAAGACAGGGTTTCTCAGTTCTACAGAAAGTGGTCAGAAGGCTGACACAGTAACCTTTTGGGTAAGCTTTTGAACACTGGTGTACAACTTCTCTGAAAGCAGGGCGTTTGGTCCTCTGCCTTTCAGGAATGTTCATTTTCTATGTCACTACTTGGCAGTCATCTTCTTTATGCAGCTAAACCGGGGACGGCCAACATGCTATGTATCAGATGGTAGGAAAGAAGTATTCGGTCTTTGACCTTGAGGAATCCTGTGGCAGGTGAAGAGAGAAAAACTGGATGGCTCTGAAAGCTCAGTTCCATCTTCTTATAGAAGCTTAGCAAGAATCCAGCTCAGTAGGTCTGAGTTAGCATAAAAAAAGAACACATGGTATCTGGCTCATTCTAGCAGTGGTGGCTAAGCTGGCCCCTTTTCTGGTCAGAAAGCTCTCCCTCAGTGGTACAGGAACTGATCCTTCTGGAGCATTAGGGTCCACTCCTTGGATGGCTTGAGGAGGGAGGCCACACCTCAATGAGTCTTCTGCTTGTGCAATTCCCCCCAAGTCTTACTTCACATGTATACTGCATGGCACCATGGGATGTGGGCCTGCCCTCCTTGACTCAACAAGCTGAATTCGCTCACCAAAGAGATATCCTGGCAGTGCAAGCACACTAACCTTAATTACTTATAAACACAGACTAGAAGAAAGTCAGAATCAAAGTCAAGTGGAATTCAAAATGTAGGCATGACAATAAAACAGCCCTGGATTCTGAGGTCCAACAGGTGACAACAGGAATGGCCCAAAAGTATTTGTTTGGAGTTCATCTCTACATATAATTTGATTTTCTGAAAATCACTTTCTCCTGGATTAGGCTGCAATGAAAATACCAAGGCATGTGACAAGGACAGTGGCTACCCGAATGGGCTTCTCAAAGGTGTGAAGTAACGAACTGAATAACGCAAGTCCGAAAATACCACTTAGGTCTCTAGAAAGTTGCAGTTTTAAGTATTTTTAGTCCTGCATTGCCCAGATAATTAGCCTTCTACCCATTCTACGTGTTACATATGTAAGAAAACAAGCTCTTACGATAGAGACCATAAATCTTGGGGGACAAGATAAAGAATATGCTGATTTCCACATTTTCGTAATGGTCTGCCTAGGGAAATTTTCCCAAATTAATGAGTATGTTCATGGGCAATAAATTAAATAAGACCACCCTGGTGGATTCTTAAAAACGAACCTATAAATCAAAAGGAAAGTGAATTTCACACAAGCACAATTCAGAATGTGAACATTAGAAGACTTGGCTTTTGCTCTCATACCTGGGCTCTCCTGAGTCATTCTCCTCCTCTTCTTCCTCACTTCCACTGTACTCATACTCTGTCTCATCTGAAGAAAGATCCCAGCATGTTAGTGCACAAAAAGATGCTATGGCTCAGTAAAGCCCAACCCCGTCTCTTATATATAAATAAATAGACACCCAAAGAGTTGTAGTTAACACAGCGCTGGAACGGTCTCCAGGCTTGTGATTTAATGGTTCCCATAAGTATATGAAATTAACCACATTCAAGGCTGTCTCGGCTGACTCTAGATATCTGTCCCCAGTGCCTAGTGTTCACATGAGAAGGAATTAAAAAATAATTTTTTAATTTTTTTATTAATTTAATTTCAATTAAAAATAACTTGTTTGGCCGGGCACGGTGGCTCACGCCTGTAATCCCAGCACTTTGGGAGGCTGAGGCGGGCGGATCACAAGGTCAGGAGATCGAGACCATCCTGGCTAACATGGCAAAACCCCGTCTCTACTAAAAATACAAAAAAAATTAGCCGGGCGTGGTGGCGGGTGCCTGTAGTCCCAGCTACTTGGGAGGCTGAGGCAGGAGAATGGCGCAAACCCAGGAGGGGGAGCTTGTAGTGAGCCAAGATCGTGCCACTGCACTCTAGCATGGGCGACAGAGCGAGGCCCTGTCTCAAAATAATAATATAATAATAATAATAATTTGTTTGTGTTATTCCCACTATAAAGCCACCCATATCAAACCCATTGGCCCTTTGTAACTTATTGATGGTATTAACCATTTTTAAAGTAGGATTTTATTATGACTTACATGGACTTGCAAACTGTCTTTAGACTATTTTGCTAAGTGCAACAAAGAAACTTTTGACAATAGGTGCTATTAAAAATATATAGTGGCCGGGTGCGGTGGTTCACGCCTGTAATCCCAGCACTTTGGGAGGCCAAGGTGGGCGGATCATGAGGTCAGAAGATCGAGACCATCTAGGCTAACACAGTGAAACCCCATCTCTACTAAAAATACAAAAAAAAATTAGCTGGGCGTGGTTACAGGCACCGGTAGTCCCAGCTACTTGGGAGGCTGAGGCAGGAGAATGGCATGAACCTGGAAGGTGGAGCTTGCAGTGAGCCAAGATCGCACCACTGCACTCAAGCCTGGGTGATAGAGTGAGACTCCGTCTCAAATATATATTTAAAATTTAAAAAATGTATATCTATATTTAAAATGTGTTTTGATTGATCCACTAGGGACAGTCCTTTAATTCAGCAAAATGGGAAGCAGTTTACATGTGTGAATGAATAAGATTGAGGCTTGCTTTGGAAGAGATCAAATCTAATATGTGAGATGAGTAAATATCAGAGCCTTCATGATTGTGAAGAAAGGGAAGGAATATTTAGTGGGTATCTCCCACACCAGTCACTACTGCTAGATATTTTACTCTGTTCTCTCATTTATTTTTCATAATAACCCTCCAAATTAGTGTCTATTTTTCAAGCAAGAATACTGAAATTACAAGAGGTTAAGTAATATAACCAATGTTATCTCATTAATAAAAGGTCAATCTAGGATTTGGATTTAGAATTCAATCCAGAACTTTTCCAACTTAAAAAATAGTGCTCTTTCCAACATATTATATGCTAAATAGCAGTACATATAAAGAGCAATGAGATATCAAAGAAAGGAACAGCTAGTGCCACTGGTCATAATGGAGGAAGAGACTTGAAGTCTTTGGAGAAAAAATGAACTGGGCTTTGGAAGGTCAGTGGCCCTTCTCCAGGCAGTTAGCAGCTGGCACTTGTGGGAAAAGGACACTCTAAGCAACATATCCACATGAGTAAGGCTGGCAGTATTACAGTGCATAATATGTTCAGGAAACAATGAGCTGTGAGTAGTTAGGTGCCTGGGTGTGAGAAAACCTTATGGAGGGACAAAGGCTGGCAGGGATGAAATGGCTCACTGATTCTTATAAATGCCATGCTGAGAACTTTCCTATTGGCAATGAGGAACCCTTGGAGGAGCTTTTAAGCAAAGGAAGGTGTCACATTACTCCTATCTCTTCATAGCTGTAGGTTAATAATTACAACCTTGAAGACATTTGCACATCCCTAAAAAGAAACTGAAACTGCAATTTAGTTATGTTACCACCAGGAGGCAGCAGTCACACAGTGAGAATGCTCAGATTTGATAAACATGCCTTGCTTTTCACACTAGCCATTAAAGAGATAATGAAGGAAAGCCAAAAGTTTGATGAGTTCAAGTGTATTTTTAAAATCACAACTTAGCTTCATACATTTAGGTATGTATGAAGCTTTCAGGCTACTTATTTTTAAAATATTAGTTCACCAAAATATAAAGAACCTGCATAAAGCATTTTAATACTCCACCCTAAAAATGAAATATTCCAAACTTTTTCAAAATGAATAAACAGATTTCAAAGTAAAAATGCAGAAATTTTATCTAATAAAGGAAATTACAGCAAGGAAAAGAAGCACACAATTATTCCAATTACTTCTACTCTCTAGGGTAAATCCTTCATTTGTCAGGCTTCTCAATTTAATATTTAATACTTCACCAAAATTTGCTTTTGACTGCTTTTATATTACTGGGTTAAATTTGGCATGTGTCAGCATATGTTAGGGAAAAAATATCAGGTTGAAAAAAATCACAAATAATGCAAAATAGAATTGCTTTGATTGATTCTACCAAAAGTTGGTCATAGAACAACTAAGAAAGTGAAAAGTAATATTAGAGCAAACTAAGTCATTTGATTAAACTGAACAAATGGAATTAGATCTCATTTGATCAAACACCATTCCTTGGGGAGCAGACAAAAAGGAGACTAGAACTGTGATTCTGGTGGCCCTAAGCCTAAACAGGCTTAGATTCCTTAAATTACTACATAACTCTTGAACATACCTATTCCCAAGAATCTTACTTTTCCACTCTGCAGAGAACAAACACATTAAAAATGATCTATCTTCATGGCATGGTGAGTTCTGAGTCACATTCCAGAGTTTGTGCCCCACAAAATGTGGAAACAACCTGAGGCACAGGCTTCAATCACTCTTATTTATGCCCCAGAGGGAGATGGGTCATGAGTTCTCACAAAGTACTCTGAGTAAGTGATGAAAAAGTATGGGTCAATAAGTAATTGCCTACATAAGAATAACTGATATTTACTGAGTGCATCTATGTCCTGGACATTATGTCAAGCATTTTAAATGCATTACCTCGTTTAATCTTTGCAACTATTTGAGGCAGTAGATATTAGTAGTATACTCTCAATCTTATTTTAAAGATGAGAAAACTGGAGTGATGTTCACATAACTGATAAGGGGCAGAGTTAGAATTTGAACCCAGAATATGAATCTGAAAACAGTCTGAGCACTTAAACTATGCTATATATTCACCGTATAATAAAATGTCCTTTTGAGAGAAGTTAGCATTTAATGGTTGCATGTCTGACACACTGCCCTAAAATATGCCCTTAAAAATTCTGACTTCATGGAGTAGCCCAAGACCACCATGGACAAGGAGCAATTGAAAAATCAGTCCTGGAACTTTTGAGTTTGACCTATGTATTTCTCTTCATGCCTAGTTCCTCCAGCTTGGGCTGGCCTCCCAGCTCCTTAGGGTCTAATTGACATCTTATTAACTGCAGATGAGCCACCGTTTTGGCCTAGCTTCACAACAATGTATGATAGTCTAAGCTGATCATACATTCCTTCAAGTCCCTGCTAGCTGCATAAGAATTCTTCCCTGGGGCTGGGTTTGGTGGCCCATGCCTATAATACCAGCACTTTGGGAGGCTGAGGCAGGAGGATTTCTTGAGTTCAGCAGTTCAAGACCAGCCTGGGCAACATAGTGAGACCTCGTCTCTACTAAAAATCTAAAAAAATATAAAATCAGCCAGGCATGGTGGTGTGCACCTGTAGTCCCAGCTACTTGGGAGGCTAAGATGGGAGGATCACTTGAGCCCGGGAGATAGAGGTTGCAGTGAGCACTCCAGCCTGAGCAACAGAGACAGAGCCTGTCTCAAAAAATAAAAAATAAAAAAAGTGCTGGGTGGGTGGCTCATGCCTATAATCCCAGCACTTTGAGAGGCTGAGGTGGAGGATCCCTTGAGCCCAGGAGTTTGAGACCAGCCTGAGCAACAAAGTTAGAACTCATCTCAAAAAAAAAAAAAAAAAAAAAGGAACTCTTTCTGGAACCTTCACTGAGATTCTCTCATCCTGCCTTAGCCCTCTGCTGATCTTACCTCTCCAATCCAGTCTCAACTTTCATACTGCTCACCGCCCCCACCGCTAGTCCCCAGCTTGTGTTATGGGTATTAACTGCAGAGGCAAAGAAGAAAGGAAATGCAAATAACAGAAAGGCAGCCTCTGTCCTGTCTGTGGGCTACCCTCCGCTACTGCCTCTGAACTGAAGAGAGGAGAGAAATGGAGAGGAAGGAAGCAAGAACAAGCACATCACCATGTGCCTCCCCTCCCATCCTCAGTCTCTGGTCTTCCTCTCTACTGTCCACTCACCACACTGTTAATGCTCAGCTTTCCAGCCTCACACTGCCTTTCACTGCTATCCTCCCAGCAGCAACCCCCTCCTGCTGTCTACCCAGAAAGCCCTCACTGCTGTCCTCTCCATTTCTCTCTTCCCATACTCTAACTTGCCCTACCTCAGCTAGCCATTAAACCTGCTCCAGACCATGCAAGTTTTTACCTTGGTCATGGCGCAGTCAATATGCTAGTCAATCTCCAAGAACAAATTTGTCTTCCTTTAGAAAGGTACTGTTTCCTCAAAGATAAATCCTATGCCAGAGAGGCACAGGGTAGGGGAGTGCTGGTGAGAGATACCATACCGATGATTATGGCAGCAAGCACACAATGTAGTAGAAATTAGTGGTGAACCTTAGCTATGACTCATGAGTTGTTAATTGGAATGCAAAGTTCAAAAGTGATTCTGAAATTACTGGTTTCAAAATTTGCCTAATGAAAATTCTCTTCACCATATAAGAATCTTGCTCATTTCTACAAAATGCACTCCCCTTACCCATCCAACCTTAGTTTCACTTTTCTTTGGCTTGCATTTTGTCTCATTTGGCAGCTCACCTCAATGTTCCCTAATATACAGTATTAGCATACCATTTCTATGCTAGTTAAAAATGTAAGCTTCCATTCAAAAAGGTAGGGTGCAGCCTGAGACTCCAAGTTTGGACTCATGTTCTTTCAATGATGCAGTGAAGAGACAGTGACATATAAGAGCTAGAGTCACAAAGATGTGCTTTTGCATATATAAAATAAAGAAGTGTGTTAAATGACCTTCAGCTCAAAAATCTGATGTTCCATTCAGCAAGCCTGGCAACCTAATGATCTTTTCTATCACTGCAACTATAAAAAAATTATTTCTGACTTCTAAATAACAGAATTAGAAATGAGCCTCAGAGCACATAAATTTAAATGTTGAAGAATGTCAGTACAGAAAAATGTCAACTAGATGAATTTTTTTCTTTAGGTTATCTGTCTTCTGTAGAGTTTTAGTCTTCTAAACATGAATATTAATTTGAATTAAGAAAATCACTTGTCATATTAAAGTACTTCATAGTATCATTCAACATGACTTTGTTCAGTGCCTGGCAGAGGTAATGTTTCTTGCAGTTCTATTTTTTTCATGAAAGATTCTACTTCAATAGTCTCACGCCACTGATGCCCAGAGGCTGTGGTCTCAGAGACAGCCCCTCGCACTAAAGAATAATGCAGGCCCATTTGAAATCCCCATAGTCACCTCCAAATACATCAAGCGCCCATGATTCACTCCATCTTTTGTTTCTGCTGCTGAAATACAAATGTGCGTCTAACCTTTTTCTCCTCGCTTCTTCTTTGTTCTATCAATATGGTCCTTGAGTTGAATGCGGACCTGTCGCTCATTAGGTTGGTCTCGTATAAATGGATGCTTCATCAATTGTTCTGTTGCTGGTCGCTGGCTGTGATTCTTTACCAAGCAGCTCTCAATAAATGACTGGAATTTTTTTGACCTGCCAAACAAAAGAAATGAATCCACAGATAAAACGGCGATCCAAAGAAAAGCAAATGTGTAATTTCTGAAATGCTGGGACTTTTTCTTTTTTTAAGGTCCAATTGGCTGGCATAGGGATCATCCACTAATCAGAAAACAGTTGTAGCACTATATTAGGCATAATGGGTTCAAAGGCATCATCATCATCAACGTGCAATTGAGGTAGCAGAAGGTAGTTATGCACATGAAAGCATTTTTGCACAATTTATATGTAACATTACATAGCAGACCAAAAGGACGCAGGGAAGAAAAAGACCCCTATGGGAATCACATCTAGAAGGGCTATTGGAATAAGGAAACCATAGCTGGGCCTTTAAAAATTAGGAGAAAATCACTCTGGGGAAAGGATAGTTCAGATATGTAGGATGACAGTGAAAAACTCAGGCTAGGATGAGAATAATGTATGTTGGGGGACACTGAGGTGAGCCACTTAAATAAGGCAGAAGATGCAAGCTGGAGGAAAGTAAAACCAAGGTTGGATAGGTAACAGGGAGTGCATTTCGTAGAAATGAGCAAGATTTTTATATGATGAAGTGAACTTTGATTAGGCAAACTTTGTAACCAGTAGTTTCAGAATCACTTTTGAACGCTGCTTTCCAAGGAATAAGAACATATAAGTATATGTGTACCTTTGTCGTTAACTCAAGGACTTAGACATTTAACTTTAAAGAATTAAGTTCACACCCAGATGCAAATTTATCTTCCTCTAGAAAGGCAATATTTCCTCAAAGATAAACCCCACGCCAGAGACCTGGCAGGGGAGAGCTGGCGAGAGATACCATACCTACGATTATGGCAGTAAGGCCACAATGTGGCAGAAATTAATGGTGGACTTCAGCCGTGATTCATGAGTTAAGCACGCATGTTCTTGCTGAAAGTTCCAAGAAATTGTTCAGAGTCATCAATAATTAAGCTTATGACTCTATAGCATGCTTTTCCAAGGCACTCCAGGAGACCTTGATGAAACTCGGGTCACCCTTCCTGTCCTGCCCAGAGCAGGAATGATCTGTTTTGTGCTCTCTGTTGCTCTCCTGTGGTGCACAGGGGAGATACAGGAGTGGATCCCAGGACTGAGCCTTTGCCCGGCAGTCCCTGCATACATACTCTCCAGGCCTGAGAGGTGCCCTCACCACACAGAACACAATGGAGAGCATGTTCTTCAACACTCAAACATGACAGGGCACTTTTGTATGCACCACTCTCTAGTGCTGCCCTGGTCAAAGCAGTTTTTCACTTTATTCCATGTTTTTAAAGTACTGAATCACTGGTATTTTTTTTTTCCGCTCTAAATTTCTAAGCTACATTCAAGCTTTTAAAATATTTTACCTAGAAATAAAGGTAGCCTACTGTGCTTGGGGTTGCCCCAGGATGAATCAGCGTTGGCCACACTGTGGACTAGAAATAGTGACAGCAGGACACTCTGTGCACCTCCTTGTTAAGTGCTTCCATGCATATCCTTGCTTCTTCCCACTGAAAATCATCAGCAGCATCAACGTGCCTGAGCCATCTTTGCATCATGAGCACACTACCTGAGCTGTGTGTTTGGTGCATGAGTGAATGCGTGATGAAGGTTCTGGACAAGAGCTGCAATATGGCCACCTTCAAGTCTGCACTTTTGAGGGACAGAAAGGGAGGTTTGGAGAGCGGATATTCTTCTCTTTCTCAGATCAATCAAATAAATCTGTGGAGGCATAAATATGATCTCATCTAAGAAGAAACCTTGCCAGAAAAATGTAATGAAATAAAGGACACTCCTAAGGAATGAATTGAAGAGAATGAGGCTGACCTGCATGAAGATATAAACAAACTCCATACAGTACTTTTCCAGGTAGAAAAATCAGTATTAAAAAGATGAAAACAAAAATTAAGACAGAAAGGTATGAAATATTTATAAGGAATATAAATGGCAGTTCTCTTTTTCTTGCTGGCAACTAGAAGGAAGTGCTTATTTTATTATCATTATTTTTTTTTTTTTAGATGGAGTCTTGCTCTGTCACCCAGGCTGGAGTGCAATGGCATGATCTCAGCTCACTGCAACCTCTGCCTCTCACGTTCAAGTGATTCTCCTGCCTCAGCCTCCTGAGTAGCTGGGACTACAGGTGTATGACACCACACCTGGATAATTTTTGTATTTTTAGTAGAGACAGGGTTTTGCCATGTTGACCAGGCTGGTCTCAAACTCCTGACCTCAGATGATTCGCCTACCTCAGCCTCCCAAAGTGCTGGTATTACAGGCATGGGCCACCGCACCTGCCAGAAGTGCTTTTTTTTATAAAGTACTCAACCAACTATTAATTAGAGGTTGATAAATAAAAGAAATCACATTCAATTTAAAAGTAAGATCCAGATTTAATAGACTGTACAGTCTATTCCCTGATATTGGCATCTAAAATAACAGTCAGAGAAATCTCCAGATCTCCAGAATGGAATAGTGTTCAAGTTTAATGAAATTAGTTATTAAACAGAGTACTTTTTCCCAGTATGCCTTGCTGGGAGAAAAAACTCAGAGATATTCAAGAGAATAACTTTGGGCCTAAAAGATGGGCCCACTTGTGCAGAACTACAAAGCTGGTAATATATTTCATATCTTCTTCAAGTGGCACCCTTTGAAGAGAAAATAATGTTTACTTAAAATGAGTCTTCAAAGAAGGATTCGTAGTGTCTTAAGTTAGCATGACCAAAGAATCAATATGCTTAATTACACACTTATTTAAGAGTGAAAACACTTCACCTATGTTGAATATTACCTCACTGTTTGCTGAGTGTTCTAATGAGTTTAAAGTACATTTATATAACTTTATTGCTTGAATCTCTGCTGATAGTAATGTAGTTCTGTCTCTTATAAAATAAAAACACCTAAGGTTAGTAAAACTGATTTCCCAAGGGTTGGCATGGAGAAATAAATGGTAATGATTGGTACCTACAGTCTGATAATACTAGTTCTACTATCAGAGTCACTAAATACTTTATCTTCCCAGATTGAACCTGTTTATATGTTAAATTGTGTTGGGGGAATTCAAAATGCTGGAAAGATTGTTACATTAGCTATTATAATCAGTTGGGTTAAAAGTTTTTGGTAATCATCAGACTCCCTAAACGCAATTTGGCCTAAAATTTGCATTGGCCCTGCCCTATTTCCAAAAGCTACCCTCTTCCTTTACTTTGAGTTGCATCACTTACTAACTTGGACAAATTACTTAACTTCTATGTGTCTCAGTTTCCCTGGCTGCATTCAATGGGGATATTATTAGTACTTATCTCAAAAAAAGTTATGATAAGTGAATTAATTCATGTAAAATATTGAGAACAGTGCCTGGTATCATAAATGCCACATATGTGTTTGCTATTATGATGATGATGACTATGATGACATTGCCCCCAGCAATCTCTGAGCATCATTGGACTTAAGGAACACAGCATCCGCCTTTAGGACTTAGGAGCAGAAATCCCCACTTCTGGCCAGGTGCGGTAGTTCACACCTATAATCCCAGTGCTTTGGGAGGCTGAGATGGATGGATTGCTTGAGGCCAGGAGTTCGAGACCAGCCTGGGCAATATAGCAAGACGGTCTCTTTATAAACAATAGAAAAAAGTAGCTGAGCATGGTGGCATGCACCTGTAGTTCTAGCCACTGGGGAGGCTGAGGTGGGAGGATCATTTGAGCCCAGGAGTTTGAGGCTGCAGTGAGCTATGATTGCACCACTGTACACTAGCCTGGGTGACAGAATGAGACTCTGTCTCTAAAAAAAAAGAAATCCTCATTTCTGTTGAACTAAGTAAACATAGAGTTCTTTAAGGGAATTATTTCACGTATGGGTTAAATAGCTTAGCAGGAGGAGTCAACTGGGCTGTTATCTCCAAGAAGCCTGCACAAACAGGTTAATTTTTAAAGTCTGTGTAATAGTTTTTAGCTGGATTTTAATAAAGTCCAAAGTTCAAAGTCACATTACTACTAGAATATTCAGTCTAGTAGAAGGAATTTCTGATACACACACACGAACTTTGTCCTATCTCAAAAGTCTGACAACCCACCAAGAATCAGAACTGGTGCCTCATAAAATAACGGGGGTGATTTTTAGCCTTGGAGCAAAAGCAGGAGGCTGGGTCCAGGCTGGTTCTCCCAGTAAGGAGGCTAGAACTCGTGCAAATACACCACTTAGCCTCACTGGGCCTGCACACCTGCATCTGAAGCATGAGTGGCTTGGACCAGTGGAGCTTGTACATATAAGCAGTTATGATTTTTCTAATGACCTCAACTGAGTGCTGCTTTGCCTGTGTGGGCTCTTCAAATTTAAAGGGCACATGAAAGATTCACTGTCTTATACTTAATGGAGCCATTCCTATCCTTCTCCAGAAAGTCCTGGAGGGAAGCAGTGACACTGAGTATACTTGCGAGGGCAGGTGAGTGTGGATGAGCAGGGTGGCAAGAGAAGGTAGGAGAAAATCTTTTGAAGGAGATGGTTTACCCCTGCGAGTGGAATCTACGCACGCACAAGAGACAGGAAGAGAGAATGGGTATCCCAGTCTTGCTTTTCACTTGCTGGTGCTGATATGGAGGTAGAGGGTGAGAGTATCTTTGGTTTCCTCTGATTCCACAAAGGTTACAACCCTCCCAGACAACTTATTATTAAATGGCTGAGCTGCCTGAACATTCAGTGGTGCCCTAACTTCATCATCCCATACCACAAAGGCCTCTCCTCATCATACCAATAGGGAAGGAAGAACTGGGCTCCTGTGAGTGGTGGTGGTCTCCTTTCCCTCCACGATGACAGTGGAAAGAGCAGTGCCACTGCCTTTATTTCTCAAATCTTGAAGGTACAAGTTAAAAAACAAAAAAAAAGTTCACACTAAGAGACCAGTTTATGCCTTGTATGTTGTAGACTCAGTCATGTTGAAAATGATGCTTTATTGAATGTTTGCCATGAGAAGAGTTCATGGCCCTGTCTCAACAATGGCGCCCCCTTTGGTCAGGTGTTGATATATACACTGAGAACAAGGCATTTAACCCGGTAACTCATTTAGGTAGAGAATAGCTGGAAATAAAAGAATGTTTTGGAATTTTGTCTCTTGGTCGGGGGAGGGAGTCTTTTCCTCTTAAATAATTAAAATAAAAAACATAAACAAAATGTTTCATTTCCTCTCAAACACTAGAGTCTATTAAAGTAAACCCTAACTTACTTCAAATCACTTTGGACCTGCGCTTTCAAGATAAAATACTCTGAAGTGTTTAAATATTTTCACTTAAAAACTGGTGGAATTGTATTGCAGAGAAATGGGAGCCATGTCTGCTGTCAAGTATCATGTGCCTGGAGGCTGCACCACCACCTCTACAAAGGCTGGGATCGAAGTGTGAAATGGCACATTATCAGGGCTTTTGTTTCCCCGGTCTCTCTCTAGCAATCAGGTTACTTTTCCTTTCCCTGTCTGACAATATGGGACTTGTTCCCATAGCTTTCCTACTCAGTTTTCCTTACACATCAGGGAAAGGTGTGCAAGGTGGCAGGATGAGATGAAATTGGCCTGGACTTCTCAGTGTTTCCAAACTTCTCCTGCTCCCTCCAGCATTATTAAAATTAGTTGTTGTCAAAGGTTTGAAGCCGAAAAATCAGACTGCATTGTCCTAAAAGTTTGTATTTCTCAAACAAGGTCAGCACACCGTTGATCTTTTTTGGGTCTCAGTCGGTGAAAACTGACACTGTAGGGCAAGGGCTGTTCACTCACTTTTCTGTGGGGTCAGGTAGGTCACAAAAAGGGGTGGTGTAGACCATGGTTAAGATGAAAACAGGAGATGTGGCCAGGCGCGGTGGCTCACGCCTGTAATCCCAGCACTTTGGGAGGCCGAGGCGGGCGGATCATGAGGTCAGGAGATCAAGACCATCCTGGCCAACACGGTGAAACCCTGTCTCTACTAAAAAAAAAAAAAAAAATACAAAAAATTAGCAGGGCATGGTGGCGGGCGCCTGTAGTCCTAGCTACTCAGGAGACTGAGGCAGGAGAATGGCGTGAACCCGGGAGGCAGAGCTTGCAGTGAGCCGAGATCGTGCCACTGCACTCCAGCCTGGGCGACAGAGCGAGACTCCGTCTCAAAAAAAAAAAAAAAGAAAAGAAAAGAAAAGAAAACAGGAGATGTATACTAACCAACTGACACCAGCTTCTGAGTTGGGGGGAGGTGGCAGCTGGAGGAGAAGGACAATCACTTGTCCTAAATGGGAGCAGCAGCTAGCATCTTTGCAGGCAGTTCACTGCATCTTTGCAAGAAAAAGGCCAGAAATCTAAATGTAATGCTCAATTGACAGATTTTTAAGTGTTGCCAATTAATACACATATTTTTAAAACAGGGTATATGACCATAGTGTGACAGCCAAATACATTTGTGGAGGGCCAGTTTGTCCTCCTCTGTGGAAAAGCTCAGAATACGTGTCCTGCAGCAGTAAAGGGAGACAAGGAGAAGATAGGGCAGGGAACAGGGTAAGTAAAGCCCACTGTATACACCAGACTCAGCTCAGATATCAAGCAGGAACCTAGCAGAGGGCTTTGTAGTGTCACTGTCACTTCCAGGGAAGAGAACTGCGCCAGTCCCTCTCCCCGGGAGTCTGATCCAGGGAGAAGAGAGGAAGCAGGGTGTTGGGGTGCTTTGCCGATCACATGATGTATGACACCCAATGGGAGGGCTGTTGCTGGGGAGAGAAGGGTTGTCTTGCACCACAATGACCCTCTGCAGAGGAAGGAGGAGCAGGGAACGCTCTGCCTCCTTGTTACCAATAGCAACTCTCACTCCCCTCGCAGGGCCCGGCAATTCTGAGGCTGCCATCTCTTTTCTGGCTGTTTCCTTCCCTCTTTCTGTGCAGTGTGCCCTTTCCTCTGTTCCACCAGGGTGGCTCTCATTAGTAGATGACTGGTGGTAATTAAGGCTGCCCCCTGTATGGTAGAGGTGAGCCTGTGTGTGGGTGGGTGGGAAACATGAGGACCCCAGTCAAGCGCCTGATCATGAAGGGCTATGGAAAGGGGCAGAAGGATCCTGTCCCTCATGGTCTCACTGCCCAGGACTTATCTCTAGAAAAAGGATAGGAGGTCACAAATAGTGCAGGAATTGACCTCAGACCATGAGTAATCCGAGATTCAAGAATGTATCAGGGAGGATACACCATTTCCATAGGAAGAAAGGAGGAAGCAATGAATTTTGGTTATGGAATAATAAGATAGGAAGATCCCAACTATATAATTATCCCCAAAAAGTCAAACATCCAACATCTGGCTTAACCTGTAGAACTGTTTCCCAAATGTCAGTCAGTCATATCCTATCAACATAATTTTTGCCGTACCCTCACACCACTCATACTAGTATTCATGTAGTAGTTTCCTTTAAATTAAGCCACTGTTTTATGTAAGTTTATCAAAAGGAAAAGTTAAATCGCTGCCCCAAATAAGAAGCCAGTATCACCTGCCATATGTGAAAACAGTAGTAAAAACAAAAAAACTGCAAATGCTCATACACGAGCCAGAGAAATAATCTCAAACATTACCTGGTATGTATATGCACTTAGGGAATGATTGTTGTAAGGAATAGAAGAGAAATCAGCCAATCTAACAGGCTGACTCTCTAAACTATCACCCTCTCTGATAAGCTGTTCTGTGCTGCCAGGAAAGATATGACTTGGAGTTATAGATCAAAGAGCTTTCATGTTATTACTTGGCTTCACTTACCCATTTTGGCTAATAATTTCTTACCTTAAAGGTGGGGGAATAAAGACCTGCTGTACAAACAGTAGATACTCAATATATACTTTAAGATGAATGACAGCATATGGAAAGTAATTCACCAAGTCATCATACATGTTAGTCTCATTCTATCAGCAGGACCTAGGGATTAGAGCTAATCCAAAATAGAATCACAAGAAAACCTCACCCTTAGATCTGCGAAACATCGAAGACCAAACTCACCACTTCTTAGACTTCAGCCGAGGCGCTGGGTTCCGGGGGATGAGGAAGAGAGCTCTCATGGGGTGCATGTCACAGAGAGCTGCAAGAGACCAAAACAAGGGCCAGCTACAGTTAGGAGGCCAAACCCAGGCCAAGCCCGTCTTGGCTGTGCAGATAATGGCTGCCCAATGACCCACTCAGTTTACACACCACCAGTGAGCACAAAGTCAGAATATCCAAATGCTTCTGAGCATTTGAAAGATCCAATATCCACTTACAGGAGTCTCATAAAATACAACATGGTTCACATAGCTACTGCTAACATTTCTAGTGAATACATGTTTACTTCATATTTAAGGAAACTAAGTTAAAGGGTCAACAACCAGCCATCCTTGCTGTGAATGACCACCTGACATTTAAAGTAAATACCATCAGATGACAACTACAATGGAGATGGTAAGCTATTTTTAATTAGTAAAAGCCTAAGCCATAAATAAAAGGCATTTCATTATCCCGTCTATTTCTTACACGTCGACAGCTCATCCAAATGCAATTGTTATCTACACAGATTTTTGGAGTCCAAAACACCAGCCCCAGAGCCCCATTTTCTCTGTTTCCAGATATCCCGAATGGCTTTTCAGGTTTCGTAACGGGTTTTGTTTCATTTTGTTTTTAAATTCACTGGCCCCAGGAAGCCCAGAGGATTAAGTCACACAGAGTCTGGCAGAAAAACAAAGTTATAAAAAGATCTCATCTTGTAAACATGACATTATCGTTTATAGTGAAAGCACTCATATGTTCTTATTTTAATAAAATATTTTATTAGTTTACTTTTCAAACATCTGGGAGAATTTCTACTTTGTAGCTAGAATAAGAATATATGCTCCCTAAAAGCCAAAGGATTCTGTGGGCAGAAGTTTATTTTTAGCCCTGTCTACCACTCATCAAGAATGATAATATGGTTTAAGACTGCAATATATTATTTTTCTGATTCACACATGCCTATTAGCATTGTGAATGAGGGCAATTTTGTCAACCAGCACTCCAAATCAATCATGCTACAGATGAGTTCTACCAATTCTAGACTGGGAAGTAAGAAAACGATGACAACCCGAAGGTAAAAGTCATAAGTATAATGACCTGTCGTGCAAATAAAGGGCCTATTTTTGTCCTAGTCCTTTGAGATGCAGACACCAAGGATATTACTGGGTAAATTACTATGTGAATGGAAACAGGGAAGGAGCCAGGCAGTATGGGAAGTCATCAGATTGCTATGCAAGTCTGACCCTGAGTGAAGGAGAGAGGGAGAAAAGGTAGGTGGAAGGGTCCCAGCCTGTCCTGCAGGTCTTGTAAAGTCATAGGGGATTACTTGGGTGAAAGTTGCCTACAAAGGAATCTTGTGTCCTCCAGGAAAGGGCCTGCCTTAGTATCCCCACTGTGCTAGGTCACTGGCGGGGAGTGGCCCTTGAAAGGTGCGGCCTGCTGCCATTGCAGCAGCTGGGGCTGACAATCAGTTACACTTCCTATATGGAAGTCTGTGAGGCACAGTCTCATGACAGAGACTCTCTGCTGGGGCCAATACTCCAAATCTCAAGGAACTGAGATTCTCAAGACTGCTGGAGCCCTAGCCACTCTGTCTCAAATAGCAGGGAAATCTAAAATTTTAAACATCAGTATTTTAAGAGGAGTGATAGCCATTGAGTGGAGTCTTTGTATAACCTGTGCACTGAAAATTAATTTTGGATTTTCATACATTGGAGTTTATAGTCTTGTGAGTTGGTCACAGTTTTATGTCAGGTGAGGAGTAGTCCAAGAATAAATGATGTACAGAATCTGTAAAACAAACAAGACTCCCCAAAGTATGCTTTCTTTTTCTTCCTTTTTTTTTTTTCTAATAAAAACAGGATTCTCCCACTGCTCTGAAATGAATGGATTCCTGGTTGATTTAAGATGACTCTGCTTTCTAAATATGCCAGCTTGAATCCATGCAGGGCTCGGTGTAGTGGAAGTAAAGCAACTGCAGCTCCTGGCAAGGAAACTTCAGTACCTGCAGAGCAGACCAGCAACAGATTTCACCCCAGAGGAGGGTACTTACGGGGAGCACCTTCTGCCATTTCAATGGCGGTGATACCCAAAGACCACAAGTCACTCTGAAAAAGAAGGGGCAGACACACACATAAATTCAGTCAACAAAGGACAACTTGGTTAAACCTGGTAATTGCTTCAGAACTTCCTGTGAAAGTCATTCAGTTTTCTGTTTACAAACCTATTTCTTCCACTAACCTTCAAAGCAGAAACAGTCTTACTTTTCATTGACAGTACCACTCATGGTGTCTGGCACATGGCAGCTTATCAATAAATGTATGAAAAATGAATATAAACAATTTTAAATTAATTCGTTACTGAAACTTATCTGTGGGTTGAACCATAGGAAATTGCTGCTATTTGACTGTTTATAACACCATCATTGAGCTATAATTGTCATATAATAAACTGTACCTAAAGTACACCATTTGATAAGGTATGACGTAGGGATCCTCCTGTGAACACATCATCACAGTCAAAACAGTAAACATACCCATCATCCCCCAAAGATCTCATTTGCCTCCTTCCTTTCCTGCCTGAACCCATCCCCACTCTCCTGTCCCTAGGCAACCAATGATCTGCTTTCTGTCACTATGAATTAGTTTGTAACTTCCAAAGTTTTGTATAAGTGAAATCACATCATATGTGGTCTTATGTATTCGATCTGTTTCACGTAGAATAGTGTTTCTGAAGTCCACCCATGTTGTAGTACATATCAGTATCTCACTCCTTTTTATTGTTGTGTAGTATTCCATTCTATGGACATATCACTGTTTTTGCATTTGGACTGTTTCTAGTTTGGGCTATTACAGATACAGGTGCTGCAAACATTGGTGTACAAATCCGAGGGTGTATGCTTTTATTTCTTTTAGTTAAATACCTGAGAGTGGAATGGCTGGATCAGATAGTAGGTGTTATTTATATTCAATTGGTTTAACTAGAAAAACAGCAATTTCATATGGTTTTACCTAATAAGATGAGGACAGGGAGACTTTTTGATGATGGCATTCACTGATGTCTCTCTTGTGCTTAGATCAGAGTTGGGCACAGTAGGAGGTACTCAAAGTATTTGTTGAAAAGATAAACAATTATTGCCTATTTTGTGAGTAGACTAGTATGTAACAATAGAGGCCAGTATACCTTTATATTATTTCTTATGCTCAGAGTGACTTTTATTCTCTGAACAGAATTTTCTAGGCTAATGCCTCCATTTCTACCTGTACAATCTCCATCTCTAACAATATTCTCCTCCCATACTCTGTCTGTGGCTCAGTAGTCTCTAAATATTGCATGAGAGGGGGAATATCAAGAGATGGGGAAAACCTGGTTAGAAAACACCAAGAAGAGGCTTGCTGCCTCAGTTTCACAGCAGATTGGTAAGAAAATCTAGTATCAAATTTGGTTCAATGGCCCACATCCTAATATAGATATTTCATTTTAAATACCTCATGCATTTTGTACATTTTTCAAAATTGTCTCAGATTAGAGTGATCAAAGGTAAGTTTCCTTGCTATTGCCATCAAACAAATGTCAAGGCCACATGAAAAAGAGATGTAACTGGAAGAGAGCTTCATAAAATTCATAACCTTCATGCTGAGTCACTCCCCAGAACTAAGTTTCTCAATATCCTGTGAAATGACACTCAGGGCTCTTCAGTAATTGGGCAGAGGTCTGCACAATGTGGAGGGGGTTTTCTAGGGGGTCTAGCCTCTTGCCTAAAGTGCAGTCTACCTGAGAGCAGGTGGCTGGGGCACATGTGTAACCTCACACTAGGAGCAAGGGGGATTCTTTCAATGTTACCAGTTCTCAGTTCAACTGGGAATAGCAATGCACCTTCACAACACCATCATTCTAAGACTCCAAGGAACTCTCTGCATACAACACAACTCACAAAGTCAACTCTTGTCCCTTCTCTTTGTTATGTTTCAAGATGTACACAAAGATTTTCATTAAACGCAATCTGCACCCCGTGTTTCTCTGGCCTAGCAAGTGACTGAGTCTCCCAGAGGCTCTTGGCCTCGCTTAGTGAGGTTATTTCCGGAGCTGATGGGGATGGCTCAACCCATCTATTACAAGTTGGCTCAGGAGCAATAACTGGTAAAGACAAAAACGCAGTTCTATTGTACCTGGGTTTTTTGTTTTTTTTTTTTCTTTGAGACGGAGTCTCGCTCTGTCGCCCAGGCTGGAGTGCAGTGGTGCAATCTTGGCTCACTGCAAGCTCCGCCTCCTGGGTTCACGCCATTCTCCTGCCTCAGCCTCCCGAGTAGCTGGGACTACAGGTGCCTGCCACCATGCCCGGCTAATTTTTTGTGTTTTTAGTAGAGACGGGTTTCACAGTGTTAGTCAGGATGGTCTTGATCTCCTGACCTCGTGATCCACCTGCCTCAGCCTCCCAAAGTGCTGGGATTACAGGCATGAGCCACCGTGCCCGGCCTGTACCTGGGGTTTTATGGTTGATAGACAAAGATAATCATTTCGGAACATGAGAGAAACACTGAATCATTTGCTGTTCAGGAGGCTTTAAACAGGAAACACAGCAATAATAGTCTGGAAATGGTGGGTTGGCTCTTAAGGTCCCTGTGCTATTTTGATAAGACTCTAGTATCTCCAGACCTTGGTAGTTCTACCACCATTTTACCCAAATCCCTAGGAACTGAGAGTTTCTATAGCGTGAAATAAGACACAAGTAAGAAGGTGGCAGCCAGGCTCTATGGCCCTAACTGCAACAGAAGGGTCCAATTTAAATGGCTTTCAAGTCCAGAAAGCTTTGAGCTGGGTTGAAAACCAATACATGTGAAAGAAAATGATGGTTCTGGGGTAAGAAGAACTCAAGGCCAGGCCTCAGGTCAGGAAGAAGGAAAATGCTCGAAGGCCCAGCCTTTGGATCTTGACTCAAGCTGTTACCTCTTCCTGCAGCACCTCAGCAGTGATGTGCTAGCTGACTCCCTCACCTCCCCAAAGCCTGCTCAACCCCTGTGTTCTCAACGAGGACCCCTGGGACCTCCCCCCAGCACTGCTCATGCCCCTTCCCCATATTTGTCCCCCACAGAACTAACCACCTCTAACATACGACATGTTTATTCATCACTAATTTACCATGTTTTGTGTTGATTGCTTGTGCCCTTTACCTCTAACACACATACATAAGAACCTAAGAGCCACAGGGCAAGGATCTTTGTTCTGTTGTCTGATGTATCCAAAGTACCTAGAACTGCTCCTGGCACACAGTAGGCCCTTAATAAATATTTATTGAATGAATGAACAAATGAAAGATACATGAGAGAACGTAGCAAAACCTAAGTGTTCTAGGGCTAGTAGACTCTTTGCAGATCACCTAGCCAAACCTTTCACTTCACAAATGAGGGAACATGACTTACCCAAGATCAAAGAGCAACTTAGCAGCTGGTTTTAAACTGAGCTGGGTCTTCTGCTTCCTAGGCCAGTTCTCTTTTAACTAGCATCACAATCTAAGGACTTGAGTATTCACCATTTTTCCCCTTATCATTTTTGTTATCAAAATGCATTTTTAATCCATAAAATAATTACTTCAGATTCCTACTTTGTCCATAGGTGACTGAAGGTGCTGGCAACTCAATAAAGGTACTGAGATTCAGTGAGGTACTCCAGTTTCATGCTATAAAACTCGCCTCAATTTCCCAATGGCAACATGGATTGGTAGAAAGAAAGAAACAGGTATTGATTGATTGATTGAGATGAGGTTTCACTATGTGGCTCAGGCTGGTCTTGAACTCCTGGGCTCAAGCAATCCTCCCACCTCGGGTTCTCAAAGTGTTGGGATTATGGGCATGAGCCACTACACCCAGCTGAGAATAGGCTTTTAAGACAGGCAGATCCGAATTCAAATAGAGGTTTCCAATTTAGCTACATGCAGACTGTTGCTCAGAGCTTAGCTTTCTCAATTGCACAATGGAAATAACCGTGGCATGCATGTATTGATCAGGTATGCTGCTAGCACAAAATCTGGCACAGAGTAGGGCTCAAGAATATTGATTTCCTTCTTCTCCACTGTCAGGTGACACTGCCTTTGCCTGCCCAACTTAGTCTTCTATGATTTCCCTTCATTTAGTTGTGGCAGAAATTGTTTAT
This sequence comes from Homo sapiens, assembly GCF_000001405.40. Taxonomy (NCBI): domain Eukaryota; kingdom Metazoa; phylum Chordata; class Mammalia; order Primates; family Hominidae; genus Homo; species Homo sapiens. The sequence continues at coordinate 171,181,423 of NC_000003.12, forward strand.
TGGCTAACCCAATGGTCATTTTCAACCCTCATTTTTGTTGCTGCTTCCATTTCAGAGTATAGCAAAGCCACACTTGCCTATCCTGACTCCCCGACAGCTAAGGATGGCAGTTAGGGATGTGACATAGTTTTCTCCAATGAGACATAAGCAAACATCTTCTGGGAGCTTCTGCTTTTCCTGAAATAAGGGACAAATATAGCTAGTGTCTTGCTAACTTTTTCCCACTTCTTAGTGCCTTGAATAAAAATATGATATCTGGAGCTACAGCATCCATCTTGCAACCATGAGTTATTGCCAACAGACTAATGATGCCAGCACAGAAAGCTAGGAGCTTCGGTTTCTGAAGGTATCAGTGAAGCATCACATGAACCCTGAACTGCCTACCTCTAGATTTCTGGTGACATAAGAAACGTAAGTACAGACAAAAGCATTCCTAAGTGATAATACACATACAGCAGTAATTTGAAGAACATACTTTGACAGTAAGGAAATGGAGAGGTCTCATTTGTTAGGTAATCCTGGATTTATTCCACAGGAAGCAAGAAGGTTTAGGGAAAAAATATGTACTTTATTTAGTACACATCACCTCAGAATCCCTCTTGGGCAGCCTTTCCCTAAGCCACCAGAACACCCCTTTCAAACCAAAGGTCATATCACCACAAATACCTGTGCATACTCTGCTAAGTCACATGACCTAGTCAATTCTGCTGCTTCCTTAAGCCTTCATTTGATATCATTGTTAGGATTTTTTTTTTTTTTTTTTTTTTTTTTTTGGCTGGGGTTCTCTTGTTTTCCAAAAGGAACATTTATATTCCTGGTCATATATATCCAAAGTTGCTTGTAAGCTACACTCAACTGCCCATGCTAGAAAGCCATAAATGTCCTTGACAGGCCTTGTTTAGCCGTTGGATACATTAGCGAGTCCCAAAGACACTTCAGAACTTAAGTAAAGGAGAAAATGCTCCAATTACCACTGGCAAGACAGATCACAGGAGACAAGCAAGGGAAGATGGAAGAACAAGATGAGGAAAGAGTCAGAAAGAGATAAGTTTCGTTCATGGCCATGGTGTGACTCATTTTGGCAGAAGCTGGATAATTCATTATTCCAGAGGTGTTGTGCAGCCTAGCCTGTGGCATGATTAATACCCTAGCGCTATGTGCATTACAAACAGAAGAGAGACAAATTCTAGTGCCTTTGGGAAGGCAGAGGCAAGACAGAACTTTTGGCTGCTGGAAAGGGTGGGAGTGGGGAACAGCTGATACACAAGCAACTTGAACAGAACAAGAAAGCATTCCTTCTGGGGCTGGGCTGCTCAACACAGTGAAGAAAAGCAACACGTTTAGATGTCTGAACCAGCCACAGAAGAATGAGAGGCTGTGTGGCACAAGACAAGAACCCCAATGTGCACCATGAGGTAGAAGGTGCCTATGGTCTGCAGCCAGACCCAACTGTGACACAACTAACAACTCTGAGCCCATGAAAAGAACTGCAACAGGAAAAGAACACATGTCTTGCAGGACTGGTAAGAGAATTCAATAAGGAAGAATATGCAAAAAGTGCCTAATATACAATGCAGTACATGCTGCATTGGGTATTCAACGAATGTGGGTACAGATAGACCCTTAGGACCAGATATCATCAACTGGCAGTTCAACCAGCAAACCAGAGTCAGGTAAGATGACAGGGAGCTCTGGTACTCAGTGGTGGTCAAAGAGGTCACAGGGACCATGCAGGCATAAACAAGAAGCTTACAGGAAGCAAACAGGAAAACGTGTGTCCTCCTTCCTCCTCCAGACTTGATCTCCCGTTCTCTATTGCTCCCTGCTGGCAGAGCCTGATAAGAAGTCAGATGGACAAACAGAAGGGAGGACAGCTGACTCCTAGCTCCATTATCACAAAGCAGAGAGCAGCACGGCAGTCCACAGTTGACAGACAATAGCTTAATAATGGGCACAGCCAGCATACTGTATCACAGAGCAGAAAATCGTCTTTTGTTGGGTAACTTATTTGTGACTAGTTTATTCTTTTGAAATGTTCCAGGTGGGAAAAAGAAATTGATGCATTGTGTGTATGGTCCCTAGGGACAACATCTTAATTGAGTGGTAAAAGTTATAGAGAAGCAGATTCTGGCTCAACGTAAGCAGACAGAGGTGTGTAACACAAATATGAGGTTGAACCGTATGAAACTGTTGCCTTTTAGGGGTAAAAAATGGCCCCCACCGGGTCCAGTGGCTCACGCTTGTAATCCCAGCACTTTGGGAGGCCAAGGTGGGCAGATCACGAGGTCAGGAGATCAAGACCAGCCTGGCCAACACAGTGAAACCCTGTCTCTACTAAAAACACAAAAATTCACTGGGCGTGGTGGCGGGCGCCTGTAATCCCAGCTACTCAGGAGGCTGAGGCAGGAGAATCGCTTGAACCCAGGAGGCAGAGGTTGCAGTGAGCCGAGATCGTGCCACTGCATTCCAGTCTAGGTGACAAGAGGTAGACTCCGTCTTAAAAAAAAAAAAAAAAAAAAAAGGCCCCAAATAGCAATACTTCCATATGATAACATAAACACAAAACTATCTATAATATATATACTAAGTACTATATATTGAGTACTTACCAAGTGGTGGACACTGTATTAATCCCTTTATATATATTCTCACTTTATTCTATTATAACCTCCGAATAAACAATTTATTATTCCCATTTTATGCAGGTTTACAAAAAGTTAAATAACTCCCCTGAGTTAATTTGCAAATAGGAGGCAAAGTCTAAACTGGTCCTGTCTGACTTCAAAGGACTGACTCTTATTAATTATGTTATATATTTATATATTATGTTATCTAGATACAGAACTTAGGTGGTGAGTTAGGGTCACTGAAGTGGAGATAGTTATTAATAATCCCATTTCACACATAAAACAAACTGAGGACAGAAATCTTTAGTTTTTTGTCCATTTTCACTTGTTATGTGACCAAAGGGAAAATATTAGAATAGCTCACTCTCTTCCCCTGGGTATCAGCATGTTGCGTGGAGGAGGTACTGGCTGCGTTTCACTAAGGAATCCTTTATAGGTGGGTGTGAACAGAGAGCCACAGAAATATGTTGAATAGGAGTTTCAGTTTCCTGTTGGTGACACTAACATGCTATCTGGGTCATCTTCCTTCTGATCGAATAGGGAAGGACCTTTGTTTGAATCTCAGTAGACAGAGGCCACGACTTGTTTGAGAGTGTAAATGCATCATTCTGCAATCTGAATATTGTCCTCTCAGGTGACACCCTGCACGGCGGAAACTCTACCACTAGTTAGGTTGCTCACTTCATTTCCAACTGAAACTCTTACTTAGAAGAAGTATTTCCACCCTGCCTGAATAATGCCAATTATCTGTGACACAGGGGAAAAGAGTACTTTTTCTCTACAACCAGAGCACAATATTCACCCAAACGCTGGAGGAGACACCCATGTCTGCAAATAATCTGCAGCACCCATATGAAAGTCTCATAAACAGAGTTTAGGCAAATAATAAACAACATTGGCACAGATCAGGCCTGAGGACAGGAATCTGGTGGGGAGTGGGATAAGGGGGTAAGCCATTTCACTGTGCATCTCTTACTTCATTGGCTTCATATAAGAGCAAGGCCTGTTTATGGCAAAAAACATAACAGGACAGAAAGATATAGAAAATAAAAATTGTAAGTTTTCCATCCACATGCCCTATTCAAAAGTAAATACTATTAAGTTTTTCCAGGTTCTTTATAGATTTCCCGTGTGTGTGTGTGTGTGTGTGTGTGTGTGTGTGTGTGTCTATGGGGTGGGAGGGGTGAATAAGACTACATTATGTGTACTATACTGTGGCATTCAGCCACAGAAATTTCTTAGTGGGTGGTTCTGTTAAAGTAATAAATACACAGGACTATAAAATGCTTAGCAGATCCCATCCAACCAAAATGAAATTCAAAGTAGGTTAAAAAAATAACAATTTAAACAGCCTAGGCATTTTGAACAGTTTTATTAATTTCAAATCTTTTGAATGCTTATTATTAAACGGGAAAGCTTTCATTATTGCCCCACATACTTATCAGGGAAATGAAACCTTTCCTTTCACTTGAAGTGTTTTGACAGAATTTCTGAAAACAAGAAAGGAAGGGCCTCCAGGGGAAAGCCAGCACACCCGGCAAATGAGATTCTGGCACTCCTCCTTAGGAGAGGGTCTATTTTCAGTGAGTTACTTACTGTGCCCAGTAGATATCACACAAAACCAGACTCTGCAATAAAAAGCTACAGAAGACCTTATACGTTGAGTTACTTTAGGTTTTGTAAAAAGTTATAGTGGTCTTTAAAGACATCTTAGACACATCAAAAAATAATTGATAAACAATAAATCAAATAACAAAACTAAGCTATACTCTTTTTCTTTTTCTTCTTGTCTTTATTTTACAGAAAGGACTTTTGTGGTAAGAAATCTAATAAAGTCCGGTGGCCAAGTCATCCTTTATTCTAAATACACACTCTCGGCTGAAAGTGGCTATAGCACATGAGGGCCCAAAGTGTTGACATCAAGCTTCTGGGGCTGGGATACACCACTGGGCCAAGTGGACCACCAAACACACAGTGAAATCCTCGGGCTTTGATGGGGTCTCAAATGAACCTTCTATCAGAAACTGCATGTACAGATACAGCTTGACTAACTCCTTATACACAATGGATAGTCTATAAATATGCACTGAGTGAATGAATAAATGATTTTGAAAGTCAGCATATTGTCAAGTTGTCCCCTGGTGACAGGTTACATTCCTAAGGATACTGAACAGAAAAGGGGATGATATATGGTGCCAAGAAAGAAGTAGTAAGGTTATTTAAAGATCAGCATCTTCTCTGGCCCACAGTAAAACTGTATAAGTGGATTAAATAAATCTGCAAAGAATCCCCAAACCTTCCACTATACCCCAACAGGGTATGGCTTGGTTTTGTTATTTATTATTTACTATTTGATTTGTCTAAGATGTCTTTGAAGACCACTATGAATTTTTTTAAAAACCTAAAATAATTCAATATTATAAAGTCCTCTGTAGAAAAGTCTTCCTTATTCATTCTTTTGTCATCCTCCTCTTTTTACCCATGGCATATAACCAGTGAAGCTCATATCCCTGCCATGACTTTTTCCTCCTCTTGCACAACCTACATTCCTGACAATCCTGTTAAACTAATTTGCACTAAGGTCTAAATGACTGACACCATTGAACCTATTCTATCAGGATTCTTTATTTTTTAAAAAAACACACAGACATTCATCTTCAATCTTTTTAATGTCTCAGGATACTTTTATAGCCAGGTGAGCCTTCCAGTACCTCTGAAATCACTGTGCAGCATGACGACCTCTGTGGCTACTCATACAACAGGATTTGCCCATACCTAGAGTTATGCACTGGTCTCACACCATTTACAGTGATCTTAAACTATACTCCTTAGCCATAATCTGAGGAAAGAGGACCAAAATATCAGTTTAATTCCAAGCTTTGGCTTGGCCAGAAGGAAAGCCTCTTCTAGATACCCTACTGAAAACAAGTCAGTTGTAGGCACCCACTTTATTTACATAACAAAAGTCCCATATATAGTGCAGTCAGTCACAATACTTAAAAGATTAAGCTGAGGTTGTAAGAGCTGCAAACGCTGTTTCCCCATGCTATGTTACATAGTAATCTAGAATATCTGTGGCCCAGATGTAGACTAGTTAGCACTTGTTAGGTATAACTATGGTTTGAAGAATTGCTTGTAGCTAATCATGATACCCATATCTGGCCTGGGATGTATATTTTGTAGTGGCTTCTCTGAAGGGATTTGCAAACAGAATTATTTAAATATGCTTATCATTAGCAGTTTAAAAAAATGACATTTTGGCAGGAGATTAATTTTTAACTTGGCAGCTGTTTTCAGACAGATTGTTGTCAGGTTATTACAGTGACTAACTTTGAAGGAAGGAGGAAATTTATGGGAGATTATTAGGTTTTCAGACCTTCAAGCTTGCAATTCCCAAAAGAGGCAAATTTTCTGTCAACACTGAGATACGGGGCCTCAAAAACGCTGCAATGTTTGCATCTTTGAGACCTGATTTCAATAATAACCCCACATGTCGAGAACTAAAAATATTCCTTAAAAGTGAAATATTCTTCAAATATACTGTTCAATTGATAAATTGGAGATTTATATGGAAGTACATTACAGAGGAGCAAGGTAATATATTGGAAAGGGCTCTGAACAGAAAGTTTGGAGACCTGCATTCAAGTGCTAACTCTGAGAGGATTGCTAACCCGGTGAGCACCTGCAGACCTCGGCCTCAGTTTCTTCATCTGTTAGATAAGAGTATTTACAGAGGATCATTAAAGTGTTTTGGTGAAAAGTCCATGCACCTCTGAAACCAGCCCAAGCAGATCAAGTTTTGCCCAAGTTGTCCTGTAATGTACACAAAGACCACAGGGTGTCTCTCTACCTAATGCACAGCCTGGAAACCCACACACAGTTCCTAGATCCCATTGCCCCTAATTTTATTGCCTTGACTTTCAGTCACCATTCATTAGAAAGCCGTGTCACCTGAAAGTCCAGACAATAAACCTGAGGGGCAATAATGCAAAATTATGTTTGGTTATTGGCTAGCAGAATAGAAAAGAGAAGGGCTTCTTGGAGAAATCTATTTGAACACAGCTTTGAATGTATTAGCAAATTTCTAGTTTATAATATAAAGTAACAAGTCACAAATCAAATTTCTATGAAACATCAGGCCACACGACAGAAATACCATAAAGTAGTCACCAATATTCCATCTGATTCCCTCTCATGAAAAAGAAACCCCAGATAATTATACTTCGAGCATTGTAGAAGTAAGTCAGATTATTCTCAATCAGAAAAAGATGACCCAAGACAACAAACTCACATCTTAGTTTAACGTAAAAAGCTATCAGAATATATACTCTTCCAAAAATCTAAACCATAACCAAAATGGAAATCCAATCTATTTTCCAATAATAAGAAGCAAGAGTAAATTTAAAAAAATATAGAAAATGATTTAAACTTTTTATTTATTTTTTTATTTTTTACAAACAGGCCATCAGATAAGATGGGTGAATTCATTAAAAAGATCCTCACTTGAATGTCTTACAGGTCTTAAACTCAAATAATGTTTTTCAGTTCTCCCTTTGGGTGACATAAATCATAAATATAAGGGCATGTAAGACTTTATAAGACTCAGGATAAGATGGTAGGCATAGTTTTGAAACACGACAAAGAAGCCATACCTTGAAATCATATGTGGCATCTGGGTTTTCATCACAGGCAATAACTTCTGGTGCCATCCAGTAGGGAGTTCCAATGAAAGTATTCCTCCTGCCCACTGTTCGATCAAGCTGAGCACTGACTCCAAAGTCCACTATTTAAGAAAAGACAAGTAAATAAAGTCTGTGATCATAGGTTTTAGATAGCGATAAAATGAATGTGAATTATTTTATTGTGGTAAAACATAAGTAACATAAAGTGTACAATTTTGACCATTTTCAAATGTACATTTCTGGGGCACTAAGCACATCCACACTGTTGTGCAACCTTCACCACTGTCCATCTCCAGAATTTCTCATCTTCCCCAGCTGAAACTTTGTACCTATTAAACAATAGCTCCCAATTCCCCCTTGCCCCAACCCCTGGCAATTATTCTACTTTCCATCTCTATAAATTTGACTATTCTCACTACCTTGTATAAGTGGAATCATACAGTATTTGTCTTTTTGTGACTGGCTTATTTCAGTTAGCATAATATCATCAAGGTTCATCCACGTTGCAGCATGTGTTAGAATTTCCTTCCTTCTCAAGGTTGAATAATATTCCATTGTGTGTATGGACCACATTTTGTTTATCTGTTCACCTGTTGATGGGCACCTGGGTTGCTTCTACCTTTTCTATATTGTGAATATGTTTTTAAACTGCATGAGAAATGGATGAAGTGTACCCATGAGGAAGGCACAAAGAATTACATTTGATTACACCAAGGCTTCACAGGGACCAAAAATAGGTGTTAAAAAAAAGTAAGCTTGGTTGTCAGAAAGGGTAGTATTTTGGGGATACAAGACAAGTGATTAAAAGCAAAAGTCTGAGTCAGACTGCCTAAGTTTGTATCTCATTTCTGCCGCTACTAGTGGTATGACCTAGGGCTAGTAGATCAACCTCTCTGAGCTTCGGTTTCCTAATCTGTAAAATGAGGATGATGACATCTACACAGAGTTGCTCTGATGTTTATGAGAGATAATCTATAGAAAATTGTCTTGTACAGGGCCTGGCATATAATATATACTCAACAAGTAACTGTTAATTAGTGAAGTAAGAATGCTCTCAGGATAGCTTATCTAGTTGATACATATATAACTGCTTAGCCTACATAATGTATACTTTTGTTTTTAAAAGAGAATATTCATGAGGTGAGAAAGTTTGGTCCCAAATGTTAACTAAGAAAAAAAATGGAAGTCATATATTTCAACAAAAAGGAAGAGCAAATGTTTGGGATATAAACATAGAAGATGTTTAAATCTCTTTGAAAATATACAATCATATGGACAGCGATTCTTTTCTAGATGACAAGTTACATATCCTACTGGATATTTGTCAATTCATGCTCTTACTCATATACATCAAGCAGTCAAATGCATGTGGTAATTCTCTATTTGGGCAGTCCCAGATTTGTTGCGGAAAGAGCTCTAACAGATACGCCAAAGAGAAGGATTCTCCCACTGATGGAAGTGGGGGTAATCAGTATGCACCTAAAGTAGAATATTAAGTATCCACTTTGCACGGGAGCCCAAGGTAATAACAAAATCAATGTAAATATAACTTAAACCTATGGGAATATAGCAGGAATTGATTATTCTGAATATGCCTGTGTATATTTTAATGGAAAAAAATTGGGTCCTAGTGCTCTGTTATAGCAGCAACAGTATAAACAAACTGTAAGATATAGGAGGCCATTTCAAAGTTTGTCACTTCTAATCTCTGCTGAAACAAAAAAATCTCAATTATTTCTATATATTGATTAAGCAAGTGGTTCTGTTCCCACATTATATATAATTCATTCCTCAGAATGCCTTGAGAAAATATTTTTTAAAATAGGCAAAGAAACATTTTCCTTTCCATTTTTAGGGCAATGCTCTCCAAATCCACGGTGACAAATTAACATTAATTTTTTTAGAGCTGTTAATATAATCTCATCACTTCCTGCAATTCCAAGGCTCACAGGATTCTGCTCTTACCTAGTTTAACTTCTGCATTTTCAGTCAGCAAGACATTTTGCCCTTTAATATCTCGATGAATCACTTTATGCTGGTGCAGGTGACTCAGCCCCTGGAGTGATGGAGAGTTAAGAAGGGTTAATAGGAACATAAGCCAAGATGCCAATAAATTATTTTGACTGTTAAGGATCCAAAAACTTTACACTCACCCAGACATACTTTTCAGAATTATAATCACATCTTTCATGTGCTCATAGTGCTCTTCTAACTGTAGGCAATTCATCAATATAAATTAAAGTACCCAGGCAGTCCTTGCAATGCATGGTGCTGTGTTTAATGAAATGCTTGCATATTGGATCTGATTATCAGGTATCAGGGAACCACACAAGTAATTATACGGTTCCAACATGAACATGAGTTTCAGTTAATACTACTGTGAAAAGCGAAGTTTAAACAGTTTAAAATAGAACCATCTACACAGTCTCTGTACAGAAAACTAACCTGATTTAACTGAATCCCTGCAGGATATTTGAATTTAAAAGTTAAAATTTACATTCTGTTATCCAATTTCATTGAATGATTGATTGACTGAGACAGAGCCTTACTCTGTCGCCCAGGCTGGAGTGCAATGGCGTGGTCTGGGCTCACTGCAACCTCTGTGTCTTGGATTCAAGCGACTGCCTCAGCCTCCAGAGTAGCTGGGATTACAGGTGCCTGCCACCACGCCAGGCTAATTTATTTTAGTACAGACAGGGTTTCACCATGTTGGCCAGGCTGGTCTTGAACTCCTGACCTCAGGTGATCCATTCACTTCGGCCTCCCAAAGTGCTGGGAATCCAGGTGTGAGCCACAGCACCCGGCCTTGTTATACAATTTTAATTAAGCGAAGTAAAATATTTCTCAGACCAGCCAAGAAATTTCCCATTGGCTTTACCCATTGTGCCTTACATTTAAAAAGGAATACAGTTTCTATTTCTTTTGTTGGCATTCATCACTGTCATTTTTAGTTTATGCTAGTTTATGCTATTTGTGACTTTGTGCTCATTATGTGAGAATTATTCAGTGACAACTAAACCTGTTTGTGTTCCATTTCTTCATGAATTACTCTGTTTTTGGCTTCTTTGTGGTGTGAATTCTTTAACCTACAGACTTACTCTAAAGTAGTCATATATTTTTCAGATAAATTATAATCTAAAATAATCTAAAAATGGAGTCTTAAAGCAAATTATTTTATGCTAACACCTGATAATTCAATGTATCGGGTCCCCGAGTGTTCTTTATTACCTTTAATTTTTTGTGCTTTTCATCTTCTCCACAACAACAAAATCATGGTATGAAAAATGAGGTTGACAGGAAAAGAAACAAACCTAGATATCTGAATTCTCTTGTCAAAGAAATTCAGCATGAGAGTACAGAGGTCCAAAAAGACCCACATATACATTTAGAGATATCAGAAAACATAAACCATGTTATAGAAGGGTTTGAGGCACTGGTTTAGGTCTTAAAAAATTGCCTTTCTTATCTGTTCAGTTTGTCACAGGGTAGGCATCAGGGGTTTAAATGTGTGGTTTTCACAAAATTTATGTACCCCATAAATCCTTAAGAGAGGGACTGAAGATCCCTTTCCCTCTTTCACTACTGAAGTGGTTGAAAGCAGATACCAGAGCATGGAAGTGAGCCAAAAGTTCTTTTAATGAGATCATACAATGCATGGAGGTCACCTCCAAAACCTCTTGTGGCCAGAGACCTTTGGGTGATCAAATGTCTCTTCCAGTGAGTCATGTCTGAAATGCTGGTATCATTTCGGAGAATATACTGGAAAAAGGAGGAAAGCCATTGTTTCCACACATTGAGAATGTGTGAAAGGTATTGAGAGATGCTCATGTGATGAAACATCCCTGCTGCTTTTAGAACCATGAAGATTAGATCAAATGACTGATCCTCTGTAGGGTTCCCCAGCAGTGCAGAAAGGCATATTGGGCAGAACCAGCCCTAGAGACCTGACAGGTTCTTGGCAGCCACTGAGTGGTCAGGATGACTAAATAATCCATTATGCTCTATCTGAATGAGCAAAATTTTAAGTCAGAAATTCAAAGTAAGTTTGCACAATGGCACATCAAAACAGAGATAAACGTCAGATGTGAAGGAAATCAGCAGCCAGGCCTCCTTGTTTCCCCTCAAATTTTGTGTTATGTTCTGTTTAAGAACACAAAACATATAATTTATATTTTTGCCTATCCCAAGCCATGGATGTATGTGTTTTTTCTTAAGTGCTTTAATTTTTATATTTTTCCCATTTATATCTATAACCCAGCTGGAATAAATTTTTGAATATGGTATGTAGCAGGTGTCAGGTTTCATGTTTTCTTATGGATATTCAATTGATCAAGTACTATTTACTGATAAAAGAACCCTTTCCTTTGACACAGACCAGGTATCATCCATATGATGTGGGTCTGTTCCTGGACCCTTGATTCTGTTCCTTTGGCCATTGTCTAATCTTGTAACAATACTACTCTGTCTTAATTTATTAGTAGCTTTATAATAAATCCTGATAACTGGTAGCATAAATTCTCCAGCTTTGCTCTTCTTCTTCAAGATTGCCTTGGTTATTCTTGGCCCTTTGCATTTCTATATAATGTTTGAAAATCAGCTTTATAAATTTCCACAAATATACCTATAGGAATTTTAATTGGAAGTTCAATGAAACCATGGATCAAACTGGGTAGAAATGATGTCTTTAGAATATTGGGTAATCTGTGAAATAATGTACACCTCCATTTATTAAGGTCTTCTTTAATATTTCTCAGTGATATTTTGTAGTTTTCAGGATAGAAGTCATTCACATCAATGTTATAATTTTAAAATTCCATTTTCTATTTGCCTTTTGCCTAATTTGGTTTGCATTTAATGAACAGACATCGTCTTCTTATGCCTTCCTTCTTTTTTAACTTCTATCCATTTCATCCATCCACCCAAAGCATACAATCTATCTCTCAAAGGCATATCTTGAACACACAGTAAAAAAGTTTTAACTTTTGTTGCCTTAAATTAAGAAGGCAGAGCTTATAAATAAATAACAATGGCCAGGAAGATTTAATAAGAATGCTCAGTAGACATATAATAACCTCCATATTAGTAGGAAGGGATGATTAAGCTAGTCTGAATGAACTAAAATATGCCCAGTTACTTTCTTCTTCCTGAACTCAGCTCAGCAAATATGATACTATTGTCTAGATTTCCTGATTGGGGGATGTGTGGGAAAACTGGGCAAACAGGCAGTCTTGTTCAGCTATTTTGATTAGTTTAAGTGATTAGGTCACAAAGATTTTTTTTAAAGGTAAAATCGGTTAAACTAGGTTGTATGTATAGGAATGACTAAAGTCACACAATCCTTATAAACTTTATATGGTGGGAAGGTATTACACCATTAGGGATAATATATTAATTGTGAACTTTCACAAACAGATAACTTAAATGAGTGATTAAAATATCTCATAAAATAATTCATTTCCTAAGTGGAACACTGTCTTTATGATCTAAAATCAGGTTTCTAATTGGAAACAGCATTGAAAATGAATCCCTTGTTAAGAGAAATCACCCAATGTCAACCTAAATGAAAATATGCTCATGGCCTATCTCCAGAATGGCGCTCACTTCCATCAGAGCAGACCTTCACACCAAACTACCACTACCACCACCACCACCACTGATAGGATAAACTTTTAAAGGGTTTTTGATATGCTTATGAATTTCACTAGAAAGTCAGAAAAAAATTCAATCCCTCATAAGATATCATGTGTTGCTTGAAGACTTTGGGAGGTGGGCCAGTCCCCACTCGTAACCTACCCGTAAGATTTCCCTGCAGATGTATGCAATCCACTCCTCTTTCAACGTGTTACCTTTTGTGTTCTTGATCAGGTCGGTGACAGAGCCAGCACCACAAAACTCCATCACCAACTGGCAAAGGAAGCAAACAAGCCATTATTTTAATGATGCTTCACTGCTTCCATTAAGTTGGGGTAAGAAAGCACAAGCAATTGGCTGCTTTGGAATGCCATTCCTGCAAAGAAAAAGTTATCATAAAACAATATATAAAACACAAGCTTTTACCTTCATGTACTCCCAAAATGATATAAAGGAAACATTATTTTTAAATTTTTCAACCTGTAAGTTATATTTGAAAATTGAGGAAACTCTCCATATTCTAAGTATTTTTTTTTAATGGGAGTAGGTAGGTGACTCAGACAAAATTGAGAATATCTCTGTTTTAACTCAGCAGTCAAATTTTCACATAAAAGTAGGATTATTCCCCTATCAGAAAGAACTGTGGTTCTCTAGGTGTCCCAACTTAGGGTTACAAAAGTGCACACTGTTTATGTTACTGGTTTGTAAGTGGCACTGTAAGCTGTCAGTGTGGGAACTATCTGTTTTTAATTAACTTCAGCGAATGTTCCCAGGAGGTTGGACACATCAAATAAATTCAATAAACAATAAACTCTAATTTAGCACCTTTCATGCAAAAGCTCCAAGCACTCTATAAATATAAACTCATTACACTACTTAGCAACTTATAAAATAGGCAGAAAATAAACATCACCCTTACTCAATGGGGATGTAGAGACCATTTGAGAAAAAAGCCATCTATGTGCTTTTACATGCATTTTCTAGGCTTAGAAAAACACATCCATTTCCAGACTTTTACCTTCAAAAATATCTTCAACAAAGATCACCTTATTAGGTACTTATATATTTTTTATAATTATATGAAAAGAATTCAGAATAACTAGCAATCAATTCCTGACTTAGTAGTAGAGACAGAACTAAAATGGAGCCACAATAAAACCACATTGATGGCTTTGGCTTTGTCCAAATCTACATTCCTGATATCAGCACTATGTTTCCAGGTCCTAAAAGATACCTCATCAGGCTCCAAAATCTTCAGGCAGAAATTATATTTTCTTTTTCTTTGTATACCTAATAGAAACTAAATAAAATCTCATGAAACTCATTTCATGAGTGAGTTTCCAAAGCCTGTTCTGACTTGTCTTCTTATGATTCCACAACGGCTAGGGAAACCTTCCCACCTTCTCCAAGAAGCCAAGGAAGTTTCAAGACCTATAAGTGCTTATAGGGAAATTTGGGAAGTGCCACAAGTAGACTACATTCCAACCAGATAAAAGTTGGGAAATTACAATATGTAATAGCCCAGAAACTATCAAAGACCACAAAATCATGTCAAAAAGGATTCAATTTCAAGAGACTCCCAGTGGTGAAAGATGGGATAATCTGAGCATAGATAAGAATAATAGCTGTAATGTGTAGAAACACTTTAAATGTGCTTAATTAAATGCCTTAACAAGGTCATCCCCCACCACCCAAAGAATATGACTGGCACTGTTAGAAAAAAATAACAAACTAACTAAGAGCTGACAAATAAAAGGAAAGACTGAAGAGTCTATACTGCCTTTTTAATACAAATCTTACCACTGGGTAGTTGAATAATAAAAGAGGGAAAGTTTCTGTTCATAAAAAAGTAGGTATTCCATCTAATAAATGAAGAAGACATAGTAGAAGAATGCCACCATTTTGTGCCTCCTAATAAGCTAGCAGACTCAGGCAGTGATCATCAATGACTGTTAACATTTTAAAAAGTAAATAGAAAAAAATAAATAAATAAAAAAGTAAATAGAATTTGCCTTTTGGTATAAGAACGCATATTACCTAGGAAGTAGTACTGCCAAAAATAAAAACAGAAATCTGAACCTGATCAGGCCTCTAGCTCCAGCCACTGATTTACAGGAAATTCAGAGGACTGAGGAACATGTAACATCATGAGGATACAATCAACAAAATCTAGACCAGGATACTAGTCAAGACAAAGAGTTTTTTCAACACATAAATTGCAAGGGAGAAAAAAAGAGACGCAAAGAAAACTTATAGATTTAAAAACACTTAGATACACCAACAAATTGCAATGGGTGCACCTTATTTAGATATTAATTTTTTTAAAAAAAGATATACACATTTTGAGATAATTACAATTCTGAATACGGACTTAGATATTTGATGATACTCAAGAAATCTGGTTAATTTTTTTTTTGTTTGAGACAGAGTCTCACTGTGTCACCCAGGCTGGCGCGATCTCGGCTCACTGCAAGCTCCACCTCTTGGGTTCACACCATTCTCCTGCCTCAGCCTCTCGAGTAGCTGGGACTACAGGCACCCGCCATCACGCCCGGCTAATTTTTTTGTATTTTTAGTAGACACGGGGTTTCACCATGTTAGCCGGGATGGTCTCGATCTCCTGACTTTGTGATCCGCCCGCCTCGGCCTCCCAAAGTGTTGGGATTACAGGCGTTGAGCCACCACACCTGGCCAGTATTTTAAAAGTGTAATAATGGTACTGTAGTTTTGTAAAAAGAAGTTCTTATCTTTTAGAGAAAAATGCTGAAATACTTATGGATAAAATTATATGACAGTTTCTTCTACAAATAGTGCTGAGACAACTGGATATTCACATGCAAAAAAATGATGTTAAACCTTTACCTCACACCCTATACAAAAATATTAACTCAAAATGGATCAAAGACCTAAATATAAGAGCTAACACTATCAAACTTTCAGGAGAAACCATAGGGGTAACTCTCCTTGACCTTAGATTTAGCAATGGCTTCTTAGATATGACAACAAATGCACAAGCACCAAAATAAAAAAAAAAGAAAAAATTAATTTTATCAAAATTATAAGCATTTGTGAATGAAAGGACACTATCAAGACTGTGAAAAGACAGCCCACAGAATGGGAAAAGTATTTGCAAATCATATATCTGATAAAGGTCTACTATCCAGAATATATAAAGAACTCTTACAACTCAATAACAGAAAGACAAGCAACCCAATTTAAAAATGGGCAAAGGACTTGAATAGACATTCCTCCAAAGAAGATATACAAATGGCTAACAATGACATGTAGAAAGGCTTGATGTCATTAGTCATTAGGAAAATACAAACCAAAACCACAATGAGATATCACTTTACATCTACTAGGATGGATGTTAATTTAAGAAGAAAAAAGGCAGAAAATCACAAGTATTGGTGAGGATGTGGGGAAACTGGAACCTCTATACATTGCTAATGGTAATGTAAAATGGTATAGTTACTGCGGTGAACAGTTAATGGGTTCCTCAATAAGTTACACACAGAATTGACACATGACTCAGCAATTCCACTTCTAGAAGTATACTCAAAAGAATTGAAAACAGGTGTTCAAACAAAAACTTGTACATGAGTGTTCAAAGTAGCACTATTCACAATAGACAAAAAGCAGAAAAAAACAAAATGTCTATCAACAGAAGAACAGGTACACAAAATGTGGGATATCCATACAATAAAATATTATTCAGCCATGGAAAGGAATGAAATACTGATGCATGATATGTGGATGAATCACGTAAAACATTATGCTAAGTAAAAGAGAAGCCAGACTGAGGCAGGAGAATGGCTTGAACCCAGGAGGCGGAGCTTGCAGTGAGCCGAGATTGCACCACTGTGCTCCAGCCTGGGTGACAGAGCCAGACTCCGTCTCAAAAAAAAAAAAAGAGAAGCCAGACAAAAAAGGCCATATATTGTATGATTCCATTTACATGAAATATCCAAAATAGGCAATCCATAGAGACAGAAGCAGACTAGTGGATGCCAGGGACTGGGTGTAGGGGGTAACAGGAATGACTACTTAATGGGTACACAGTGTTCTTTCGGGGTGATGGAAATGTTCTGGCACTAGATACTCATGATGGTTGCATAACATTGTGACTATATTTAATGATAATGAGTTATACATTCTAAAGTAGTTAAAATTTAGGTAAATTTTATGTTTATGTTACCAAAATTTTAAAAAATGACATGTTTTGTTTCAAAATAACTAGAAGGGGCAACATAGATGGACATGTGGATGGGGTGGAACTGGCCACTGATTAAAGGCTGTTGGGGCTAGTTTTGGGTGCATAGGTGTTCATTATACTGTTCTGCCTATTTTTGTGTATTTTTAGGATTCTCCACAATACAAAGTTAAAGAAAGTCCCATTATATAGCAAATCAGGGTTCAATGCCAGCAGGATGGACCAAAGAAACATCTTTTGATAGCAGGAAATGAATATTTTCCCGAGTGAGCAAAACATGTTTGTGTCCCTTCTCTAAATCCCATTTTGAAAAGTACATTGACCAGGCCTCCTGTGAATACATCCATTGCTCCTGTATCAGCTGGGGAAAATGTCCCACCACTGAGCTTTATTAGGCCATGTAATTATAGCTCCCAAGGAAGGCAATGGAAGCCCAGTGACTCGAGTCTTTCAAAATTAGATTGGACAACATACTTTCAAATATTCAGTAGGAAACAATCCTACTCTAGCCAGGCACTACTGTCAGTGATTTCTATAATTTGCTTTCCCATTCAGCTCCAGCTGAAGGCTGCTAAATTCTTTTCCTCTCACTATGGAACAAAATGATTGTTAAATTATATAATGGGATTTAAAAAAAAAAAAGAAAAAAAACAGCACTTGCTAGCAATTGGTTCCTACAGCCACACAGCAATGCTGATAATTACCGCCACCACACAGCAGGGATCCTCCCTCCCCATAAGTAACCTCATCACATTAATAAACAGAAACAGAGCTCAACATGCCAAGCTCAGCAGTGATAAGTCAATAACTTCACATCTCACTAGTAAGAAATAATGGGTCATTAAAATTCTCCCTGAAAGAAAGTTCTCAAAGAGTTTATACTGGGATAATAATACTTTCTAACATTTACTGAGAATTTACCATGTGCCAGGCACTGGGTGAAGCGATTTACAAATGCTTCGTTAATTCTTCTTCACCTAACTTCCTTTTTCTGTATTTGGAAATAGAGCTTACAGTCTGCACTTTATCCATAGTCTACACTCATTAAGTAACTTGAGCAGGGTGAAAGCACGTTGCTCTCTCAATTACTAGTTATGTGTCCTTGGGTATGTTCCCTAACCACCCTGGGCTTAGCAATGTCTCTCTCCCCACCACTACCACTATGATAAAATACAAAATAAAAGCATCAACCTTACAGGTTTGATGTGAACATTAATTGTGACTATGGATATAATGCTGCTAGCAGCCAAAAATCTCAAGATGTATTTATGATGTTTCTATTCTTTGGTCTATTTTGCATTTATAAAAATGCGAAAAGAAAGAGTTTCTGACATGGAAGATAGCATCAATACCTCCCCAGTGTCCACTTCACTTGGATGGTGAAGAGACAGGGCTGAAAGATATTTGTAAAAGGCACTGGGCACATTTTTCTAAAACCTCTATTAATGAAAAAGCACCAGAGACACATGTTTTTGTTTTTGTTTTTGTTTTACATTTGTACCACACAGCAAGAAGACACAGTGGTGCATTCCAGGGCAATGGATCTTTTTATTTGGAAGGCAGGGGTGATAGGGGGTGGAGGAATTTTAAAGGAATCTAACATTTGAAATTTTCACTCAACACCGCCTAAATAAATAACTGGGTCAGAAACTTAAATAAACATGCATACCACTTGAGAAGAAAGAAGGAAGGTCAAGTTGAAGGTGGTTGGGGGCAGGATGAGGACTAGGCCTGAGCCTGGAGGAGGTGTCCAAAAAAAGCACAGTGTGGAGCAACCAACTTATTAGAGAAAAGAATTGCTTGGATTATTTAGACATGGGTAATTATTACTATCTAAATAACAAAGGTTAATTTTTAAAAGCCAAAGAGTTCTGACACTTCACAATTTGCATGGTTGATTGTCAGCAGTTTTTGTCAGTTGTCATGTTTCTCGTAGGATGTTTTCTCATAGAGGTTGGTCAGGGGTTACTTAGTATGCCTTCCTGTGCTTCTCCCCTCTCCAGGACAATATTTAAGTAAAGGGTCCTCAGCCTCAGCTGATTCCAGAAGACATTTCAGAATACTGAGTCAGCGCTTGAGGTTATCTCTTCACAAGAGACAGGGGGCCTTTAGCATGGAATCACCAGATGTGGTGGCTTCTAAACTTCCCTTTCCTGCCCTAATAACCTCTAAAAGAATTTTAAAAGATTTAGTCTCAAAGGCAGTCAAAGGTTTGGATGATTCCTGGGGTCCCTAAAGTATTCACTCCCTTGCTAGTTTATTGGTTTTAAGTTCCTGTAATGAGAAACGAACTCTTAGGATGTTATTTCACAATTGCAGATACTTACCCAGAATACCCTGACAGGAACTAATTCCTCCCAAATGTCACTAGTCAGTCACCCACAAGAATAAATGACTACTAACAGATCCCTTCTCTTTTATGGTAAAAGGAGGGGTTGGAGGCAGGGGGCAGGAAGAGGTGCAAGCGGGAAGATTAAGGTCTTCCTAAAGTGAGAAGGGTTTGCACCAAGCAGTTTAAAAGGCACCCTAAGAAAATAATAGGGGCTGGGCACAGTGGCTTACGCCTGTAATCCCAGCACTTTGGGAGGCCGAGGTGGGCAGATCACCTGAGGTCAGGAGTTCAAGACCAGCCTGACCAACATGGAGAAACCCCATCTCTACTAAAAATACAGAATTAGGCAGGCGTGGTGGTGCATGCCTGTAATCCCAGCTACTCGGGAGGCTGAGGCAGGAGAATTGCTTGAACCCAGGCTGCGAAGGTTGTGGTGAGCCGAGATCAAGCCATCGCACTCCAGCCTGGGCAACAAGAGCGAAACTCCGTCTCAAAATAAATAAATAAATAAATATAAATAAAAATAAATAATAGGAAGAACAAACTTCCAAGAACACAATTCTGCAAAGATTTAACCCAGAAACATCAATGAGGCACAGAGTATTTTCATCATGTGTGGCTGAAAATAACCACAGATCTCATCTGCATGATTTATGATGGTGGAAACAAAGTCCAAACTCAGTAACTTTGGTACAGAAGGCTGCTTTATGTGCAAAAGGTAGGTTAAGTCTCAAAATATAAAATGTGTGTATAGAAATACAAAATACAAAAATTGGTAGGTATACATTTGAATACATGTATCATTTCAATCAATTGAAGTAAAGCTTGGGGATTTCAAACCTTAAAAAGCAACTTTAATGGCCTTTTACATTCATTTTTAAACTAGCATGTACTATCTATCTATCTATATATAAACTCTTGGCTTCTGAATTATATTTTTCGACTGGGAAAGAGAATGCTTGAACTATAAATTTTAAGACTTCCAAAGACAAAAAGATGAGTTCCAAGGATGGGAAGTGTCCTAGACTTTGTAATAAAGCTTCTGGATAGTGAACAACTCTCTACCTTGAACATGGCAAAGACAGTTTGAATATACCGAGCCAACTAGTATTTTTAGCAACAACAAGTCTGCCCAAAGGACAGGCCCACTACAAATGCTCAAGTCGCCTATGTCTCAAGAGACAGACAACCCAGAGTCAGTACGATAGCATTTAAAGAAACGTTACGGACATTAGCTGCATCTTGTATTTGGTGTCTGGACTCAAATTCCACAGTATGAATGCAAAATTTTCTGCATATATATATGTTTTTTTTTTGGTAGGAGTAAGTCACTACATGTCAATTTTGTCCAAAGATCCAATCATAGAAGCTAACTTTAAGGTTGAAGAAATTTGCAACTCTGCATCTCGGAATGTTACACCCAAATAGAAGAATGTGGGGTGAGGAATGGTGAGCCAGTTTTCAGACAGGTTGAAAATAGGAAAAGAAAATAAATTGCTAGCTTTAGAGCATTTAGGACTAATCATCTTGATTGCTGAAGATTTTGAGAAACACAATATAAATAGGAACATAGACTTTGGCTCAAAAGTTATCTAAAAAAAGGAATCAAAAGGGTTGTATGGACCATTAGCAAAATAACTTTGGGTACATATCAAGTCTTCCTTTTGCTTAGATGAAAAGAAGTTTAAACAAAGTTCAAATGAAATTCTTTGGGACAAAAGAAGAGATCAATTGCACATTCTTATCAAAGAATCACCCATTAATTCATAAAATAGCTCTATTAAAGCTCAACACACACCAGTTGCAAGGTATTAAGTTACGTGTAGCTTCAGATCTGTGTTTGTATCTACGTAACTTACCTTGTGTCTCTATAGGTCTTGCAATGTGGCAGCTCTGAAACTGGGAGACTGTTTACAATCATTCCTCTTACCATGTTAGGCATATCTATATTTGCCAAATTCAACCTTTTAAAAATTTCTGCTCACAAATAACAAGACTAAATAACTCCTCCAGACAAGTGACGTAGGCTCTGTATATGAAGGAAAGGAGCTGTTTACTTATAAAAGTAACAAACACTAATCAAAACAAGTTTTAAAAGCCTCATTTCTGATACACAGCATTAACAAAAGATAAATTTTAACTGTTCAAAGGATTCAGCTATGAGTGGTTAATTTTTTTTTTTTCCTACAACCTCCACGTCACACAAGGGTGGTTAAATTTTTAATGGCATTATCTGCAGTACCTAACATTTAAATGTTAAAACAATCAAAATTGAAGTGGGCATTATTTTTACCAAGCCAAGACGCTATAACAATGTAAATCCAAAATACTGCAGAATTAGGTTTAGGAGTTGTGGCCAACATCAATGCAGAGTCTAAAAAGGACCTTTCATGGGTAGTTGAATGAGTTTGTTTCTTAGTTCATCCCAGTATCTTATTCTGAGACGATCTTACACAGGGGCTGGGCAAGTAATGTGAATACATGAAATTGAGTATGTATGGAAGACAACAGGGGATGTTGGGGCCTCTGGTGCAAATTTGATATGTGCCCTCTAAACAGCTGGTACACTGCTCTAAAATACTGCTACTATTTGAAATTTCAGGCCCAATATTTCTAGATCATTTTATTTTTCAAAACTTTTCAAGAATCCAGACTTTTCTGTGAAACTGCTCAAATTTTCTAATGTTGGCATAATTAAACCACCACCACCTTATGTGAACCAAACTCAACATATTTATCATGGCAGCATTTAGCCTCTAGGCTGCCAGTTTGCCAACTAAGAACTAGTCTAATATTATCATTTTTATAAAGTAGAATCCAAATGCCAGACACATTGGTTCTCCCGAGGTTTGACTCTGGGTCTCCAGATTCCCAGGCTGTCAGAATCTTTGTCCTTAAAACGCACACGGTATAATTTCTTAAGTCTTGGCTCTGCAAGTGTACCGTGTGAAAACTTGATGAATAGATTATTGAGCCGCTACAGGGCAAAAATCTGCTATCTTACTTGACCACCCTACATTTCAGAAGATGATTACAAATTTATTTCCTGTTACGAGATATTCTAGCCCTGTATTATGGTGGTATCAAAAAAGACAGCAAAATATGTGTGAGTTCACATTGTAATTTTTGAGAAATTAGTTAATTTACTAAACAGTATTTCTCCCTCCCTCCCAGTGTCTGAATGGCATGCAGCAAAATGGAGAGCCTCTCATCACTGATAGGCAGCAGAATGAGATGTTGTGTGTCAGAGCTTGCCTTGTTTCCGAGAGATCAGAATCTTTATTGAAAGGGCTCCCTTTTTTGATTTCCGGATCAGACCCTGAGCAGTTGATAAAGGAGAATTACTTGGCCATTATCTGAAGTAGTTGTATTTCCACAAAGAGCTAGTGCTAAACAAGAGTTTATCTCTACAACAAGACTGATAGGATTCGTACAGATTATAATTCAATCAGACACCTGAAACAGGACATACATTGGCTAGTGGGATATATGCAAACCTGTCCTCCAGCCATAGCAAAATAAATATCTGGGGAATATTTCATGTAGTCTGAATACAGAGAATAAATGTTAGAAAGTGCTGCTTTTAGTTGCTTTAGGCCATGCCTCTATATAATTCATAATATTTTTATACAAACGTAATCCTAACAAAATGCCACTAGTCTGAAGAGTCAACTATCTATGACCTTTGCAATTATTTGATAAAACATTCCCAAAGCACCTAACGCACTTTTCAAAATGTATTTCTTAGAGTTTACAGCACTCTTATTAGTAGCTAACAGGTCTTACTTGCTCTTTGAATATTGGGTAAATAGAGGAGTACAGATTAAAGGTGAAGTTAAACTAAATTTATTTAAACATAAATCTTCAATCCTATTTAGAACATCAGCTTCTGATATCAGAACTATTTTTCATGACCAAAGGAGAAGAGTGTAGGGTTTAAGGGCTTGATTCTGGAATCAGACAGCTTGGGGTTAGCTAGCATGCTGGCTTCATCACGGACTTGCTATAAGACCTTGGACAAACTTCTGGACTCTCTGAGCCTAGTTTCCTCCATCTGCAGAGTAGGGATAATACTTGATTTGCAGAATGGCTGCAAAAATCTAATAAGATAATATGACAAAGTAAACAAGCATAGTACTTGGCCCATGGTAAGCAGGTGATAAATATTTCCTACCATTGTTCTTATTAACAGAGAATGCCCCAAATTTAGTGAGTCAGAGGCCTTGGAATAAGTATGTACTGTTATATTCTATGACTGTGTTCCCACCAATATTGTAATCTGATATTAATTTCCTAACTATTATGTTTCTGTCTTTCTTCTTCCTAGTTCTTTCTTGATTTGTCACCACATCAATCAACTAGGAAAAGAAATGACGCTCTTGCCCTTATGAGGCCTTTCATAGCTTTTATCTTCATCTTTGGTAAGAAAGAAGCTACTAGACAATTGCTAGAAGGGATGGTCAGAGCAGCCCTCTGCATAGACGCGAGTCTGACGAGTGCTAGGCCCTTTGTCCTTCAAACCTGGCAGAATGTAGGAGCTGTAACTTCCACATTTTGTTACCTGCAGTTAATTGCATTTAATTGAAGTGGGGTAAGTTGAATGTGATGGCAGAATTCCTCCCCATGTGGTCCAGTTTGGAAGTGCTCACTACTTGCAGATCCCCCCTTCATCAAGTTCAGGAAGGGGATTCACTTACTAAAACAGTTTCCTAACTGGTCTCCTGTTTCTCTCCTTGACCCATCTGGTCTATTCGCAAGCCAGCAACTGAAGTGACCCCTTCAGTATGTGGGTCAGATCCCATCCCCCTCACTCCATGTTCAAAACCCTCCATGGCTCTCCCACCTAATGCAGAGTAAAAGCCGAGGTCTTTCCAATGGCCTGCAAAGCCCTGAATGATCTGGATCCAGGTTGCAGACTGTTAACTTCTCAGAAAGACAGCAAGGGAGCTCTCTGGGTTCTTTTTATGAGGGCACTAATCCCATTTATAAGGGCTCCACCCTCATCACCTGATCACCTGCCAAAGGCCTCACCTCCTAATACCATCACATTGAAAGTTAGGATTTCAATATATGAATTTTGGGGGCACACAAATGTTTAGTCCATAACACATTGCAACCCTTACCTGCATTCCCAATTAGTACTCCACCAGGTACTTACTAGCTTCCAGCATCCTCTGTAATTGTCTTATTTATTATGTTTATTGTTTGTAGTCTACAGCAAGAATGTAAGCTGCATTAAAATAAGTACTTTCATAAATTTTGTTCACTGTTATATCCTGAGTGCTTGGAAGAGTGCCTTGTGCCTAGCCAGTATATATATGTATCTATACTAGCCATGTATATATATGATGATATGATAATATATACATATACATATGTATGTACACACAGACAAATAAATGAATATATGGAGATATATATGTTCGTGTATATATATATATATATATGGAAGAATGAATGAATGACTGGGGAGTAAATAAATGAACACATACACATCAGGCTTTTGGTTCCCAGCAACAACAGCCATCTCCATGAGAAGAGCAATTGGCCAGGGTGAGAACTAGTGGGAAGTGACTCATTTCCAGAGTACAATACCTCCCATTAACACCATGCAGATGCCAGCAGGTGTGCTGCTTTCTCCAAGTACCTATCTGAAAATGGACTGAAGATTTTGCTCAGTTTTTAACAAAAACTTCCAGGGGGCTTTCACAGAACTTCCAACCAAGCTAAAGTGTTATGTTTTAGGATGTCTGCAATCTGGTCCTGCATCATCCACTAATGAGTTTTGAGGCCCGGGGAAAGTCAATTAACTTCACTGGACCCAGCAAAGTTTATCATGACTAATTCTTCTTCCAACTTAAAACATCTCAGGATCTGCAAAAGGGCGAAAAAGAGTCAAGCCCTATTAACCACCCCTCTCCTTCCCTCAACCAACGATTCGTAAATAAACACCCCAATTACCCCAATTTTAATAATTCAACTTAACATGAAAACCAACTTTTCTATCTGGCCCATCTCACAAAATGAATGAAATTAATAGCTAGGTGTGGCTCATCTAGAAATAGCTGTTCTAGCTCAGGTGATATGCTGGGAGATGGTTATAAATCTACATTAATGCTTTTTTTTTTTAAATTGAGAACCATAGCCCTGACCAAAGAAAACACCTTTCTACAGACAACTATAAAATAGCTATCATTCCTTGGCTATTCTAAATATTGCTGCAATGAACACAGGAGCTCAGATGCCTCTTTGAGATACTGATTTTATTTCCTTTGGATATATATCCAGAGGTGGGGCTTCTGGATCATAAGGTAGTTCTATTTCCAATTTTTTCAGAAACCTCTGTAGTATTTTCCACATGGCTGTACCAATTTACATTTCCACCAACAGCATACAAGGGTTCCCTTCTCTCTACATCCTCACCAACAATATACAAATTCTTTTTCTTTTTTTTTAAATTTTAATTTTTTTGGTAGAGATGAGGCCTCACTATGTTACCCACGCTGGTCTCAGACTCTTGGGCTCAAGCAACCCTCCCAGCCTTGGTCTCCAAAAGTACTGGGATAATAGACATGAGCCACCATGCCCAGCCAATATACAGTTTTTATTTGTTGATTATATCTTAATACAACTGGGAGAAAAAAAGTCAGGATACCCGTTTTCCTTGAGGTGGCAGTGATTGAGAGGGAGAGCAAGGGGGACTTCCAGGGTGCTGATAATGAGCTGGAGGATAATAGCTATCATTCTCTACGTGTCATCTGCTGCAGCTTCTGGCAATTCAGAGTCACTGCTAAAATGCTAAATTGTTGACAATGTAGAAGTCCTTTGGAAACACAAAGATATGTTAACTCATGCCACCCCATCATATCCTGTTGAATCTGCAGGCCTCAGGGAATCTGAGCTCTCAAAAGTACCTGTTGCAACCAGGTTTTGTTCTAACAATATAATTTTCATTCATAAACCAATGATTTTGTCAGCATATTACCCAGTGCCTTCCAAATGCTGCAGAGGGAAGCAAAAGACACAATCCTTGCCCTCAGAGAGCAGACAGTCTTTTATGAGGAGCAAGAACAGCCCGGTGGTAGCAATAACAAAAGCAGCAGCAGAAAGGGTTCAGATGCTGAACTTAAGAGAAATTTCAGGCCAGGTGCAGTGGCTTGCACCTGTAATCCCAGTACTTTGGGAGGCCAAGGCAGGAGAATTGCTTGAGACTGGGAGTTTGAGACCAGCCTAGGCAAGAAAGTGAGACAAAAAAATAAATAAATTAGCTGGGCATAGTGGCGTGCTCTTGCAGTCAGAGCTACTCAGAAGGCTGAGGCAGCAGGATCGCTTGAGCTATGGTATTTACGGCTACAGTGAGCTATCACGGTGCCACCGCACTCCAGCCTGGAGGACAGAGCAAGACCCTGTCTCTAAAAAAAATGTACTGAAGAGAAAGATTAGAGAAAAAAAAAGCAGATGTAAAAAAGAAAAATGCTTTTAAAATGAAATTACTGAAATTACTACCTCAAATATTTTCAACACAATTAGTATACATTATATCAGATATCCCCACCAAGTTACTACGTATTTTTTCCACAAAAATGAAAACATACTATATCTAATTATAACCTCTTCAACAGGCTTTACAAAGTCCTATTTTATTTTTGTGTGTATGTGTGTGTGTGTGAGACAGAGTCTCACTCTGTCACACAGGCTGGCGTGCAGTGACACTATCTCGGCTTACTGCAACCTCCGCCTCCCAAGTTCAAGCAATTCTCCTGCCTCAGCCTCTGGAGTAGCTGGAATTACAGGCAGCCACCACCATGCCCACCTAATTTTTTTGTATTTTTAATAGAGATAGGGTTTCACCATGTTGGTCAGGCTGGTCTCAAACTCCTGACCTCAAGTGATCCACCCACCTCAGCCTCCCAAAGTGCTGGGATTACAGGCGTGAGCCACCCTCGCACCCAGCCCCTACTAAAATTGTTAATGCTTATCCATTTATAAATGCAGAGCTACATCATTTTAAATGTCTGCAATGTCCCGTAAGTGACTCCCTATTGGTTAACTTCTACATACATCCTTATGTAGTTACCTAAATAAGTGACCTGATTTAGGACATATTCCTGCCTGTGAAAATAGGGAGTCAAAAGTAAGGTGTTTGCTTTGGAAGGGGTGTGTGTGTGTGTGTGTGTGTGTGTGTGTGTGTATGCCAACTGCCCTTAAGTTGGACCAGTGTTCATTCCATGAGCAGTGGGTATGAGTGTCCATTCTAGACATTATAATTAAAAAAAAATCTTTGACAGCCTACTAGGCAAGAAATGGTATCTATTTTTTTCTTGTGGATTTCTATTGTTAGTAAGAATAGGCTTTTAATACAACTTTACTGATAATTGATATTGCTTACTTTTTTGGTTGTAACCATTTCCTTAACTCAATCTTGCTATTAGTAATTTCATGTTTTTCCTATTGATTTATAAAAATGCTTCATCTCTGAAGGCTGCTAAATTCTTTGCTCATTATATTATAAAATGAATATTTTTACTTAGTTATTTGCATTTTTACTTTATGTTTTTTGTTAAGAAGACATTTAAAACATGTATATAGTCAAGTCCATCAAAATTATATTTTATGGTGTATCCCTTTGTTGTCATATATCTCTCTTTAGGATTATCCAGTCATATTTATTTTCTCCCACTACTTTTATATGTTGAATCTTCATATTTACATCTATTATACATTTAGAGGCCACAATTAAAACCTACTGTAACTTTTTTAGAATTATATAAACTATATAAAATGTGTTTACCCCCAAATAATTTTTCTTTTAAATTTGGAGATGAGCCTTATGGAAAAAAAAAATCCCAATGGTTCTTTTCATTTCCAAAGATTGAGTACTCATATTAAATGACATGAAAATCTTGTTAGTTTTATGAGCTAACATTTTTATATCTTTTTTGGTCACTGATTGCATTCACTGTCTATATTCTGTCTTCCCCACTGGATTGGAAATGTCTGATGCATTAAAATAGTTACTTCTGCCCGAGGCTGAGTACTTTGGGAATTCTCCATGAAATAGCCATTACTGGATCCACACAGCTCAGCACAGTATTTGGCATATAGTAGGCTCTTGCTAATTCAGTAAATTTTGTGTGTTAGGCACATACAAAACCTCTGGAAAATGAGCAAGACAGTAAGAGGTTAAAAAGGTATTTTTAGAAGCATTAATATAACAACGACATGTGGGATGAACAGAAATTGAGAGAGAGGAAGCGGGGAAGGAGGGACGGAAGGACAGAAGGTAGAGGGAAGAAGAAAGAGTGAAAGAAAAGTAGATCAACACATAGGAGGCCATTGTAAAGTCCAGGCTTCCACTGAATGGGCCCATACTAGGGAGGTAATTATAAAATTGGCAAGGGAAGGCCAAACCAATACAGCATTATAATCTTGCTGAAGGACTAAGTGAATAAAAGTTCCAAGGACAGAAACCAGGAAGGCTCCGCACAGCAGCAACAGGCTTTGGTATCAAACACAGTAAACTCATTGGTGGGACAGCCAATTAGAGCTGCCTCTTAGACTGTCAAAGATAAAGGACTGTGGCACATACCTAAGTGGACTAGGGGAAACATGAAAGGAAAACAACCTTTGCAGAGTCCCTACTTGGTACCAGACACTGTATTAGGTATTTTACTTACAGAGTTAAAGTTTATGTTTCAGTCGCCCACTCATCAGCGATAGACAGAGAATCGCATAGAGCTTGGTTAGATCCTAGATCCATCCCTGCTAGCTATGTAGACTTTGGAACAGTTTATTCATTTTTTCTGTAAACCTTAGTTGCATCATTCAAGAAATTAGGGAAAGAATAATACCTAACTCAAAGAAGCAAAATAAATGATACAATTCATAAAATGTAAATACCAAGGCACCTAAAATAAAACACAATAAAAGGTTGTCAATTAGTGAAAAAAAAAAAAAAAAACAGAGAACTTAACAATTGGCTTTGGGGATGGTCCATATTAAGGGATAGAAGGAACATTTAGAGATCCTGAAAAGACAGATATTCAAGGAAATGGGAGAAAACCCTGAAAACAATATGTTACGGACATCATGGGGGCTAATGGTTAAAGAAGGAGTTAATCAAATTTTGTCATGAGGATAGAAAAATGAACCATTTGGCCGTGTTTGTTTTTTATGTAAATAAAGCAAATTTGGACGGCAGTACATACCCAAAGTTGGTCATCCATGCCTGGTGGGTTCTTTTTGATAAAAGCACCATAGTATGTAGCAATATTCCGGTGATGAGAATATTTCTTCAACATGTTAATTTCTTGTTTGATTTCTTCCTCTTCATCCTGTATGAGAACAATATAAAAATTCTGTCATGAAAATCTATGGTTGTTAGTAGGATTCTGTTCTTCAACACCATCTAAATTTTTTCTTGTTTTTTCTTCCTTGTTGACAAATGAGCATAATTATTACATATGAGGGCAAAGAACAATTCTAAAACATAATACATTGGCTGTCCAAGAGACTCTTCTTTTTGTACAGCAAACTGGCATAGCACAATCTCTTGGAAAACAAAACAAAAACATCCAAAACAATCCCTCATCTCTTCACCTAGAAGAGATCAAGGTAGAAAGACTATCGAGAGAAAATTCACTGTAGGCCTCTGGGAACTACATCCATCAAGTAGCTATTACTGATTCTATCTGGTATAAGAAAGATTGAGGAAAATGAAAGATATTAAAACCGTGGGCGCTCAGATTTAAATTTTGTTAGGTTCATTTTCTTTGAAGGCTCCTTTCATTGAAGTACCTGACTGAAGATGATGAAAGTCAGATGGGAAAAGGAGCAAAGGTAAGTTCTCTAGATCTAAGGAAGTTCACAAAGCAGGAGTACCCACCTCACCTTCAGGAAACTCACCTTAGAAAGAAAGGGGGAAATGTGGTGGTACTGAGGATGTAAAAAGAGACAACTCTCTTACAGAGTTAGTTTCTTAATATTCAGGTTTCATTCACTATGAATTTTGATTTGGAGTCCACCAACCTGGACCCTTTTCAGAGGTCCTGGCAGTGCTGGTGGAGATGGTGACCTCCCATAATTTTATTTTCTTGATGTGTATACACATTGGTTGGACTGCAGAAGAGTGTTTTATTGTTGAGGTTGGGGGAGAAAGTTTCTACCTCAGGATAATTTTTTAGGTGCAGCAGTAAGCTATGACTGTCCCTGAGTGCAAGATGTGACATTATCATGACCTGAAAAACTACCCATGGTGTCCCCTGTCTGTACCCTCCTCCACTCCGGCTGCACTGCCTCCTTCCAGTGTCTCTGCATTACTGGGACTTCCTGCAGTCTCTCGTGTGCTGTCTTCTTTCCCCCACCTCTTCTTCACATAAGCTCTACTCACCATTCCTGATTGAGTTTAATCGACATTCACCAGGGATCTCTTCCTTAATTCTCTCAGGCAATGTCAAGTCCCCCCACTGCATCTGGTCATAGCCCCTACACTCCTTCACATACCTGCTGTATTTGTTGACATTGGTATGGAGGTATGTCCCATTACTCGACTCTCTTCTCCCTATATTGTAAGCTCTCCTCTCCAGATCTTCAGATCTCAGTTCTACAGTTCCTTCCCCAGCAAAGCTCCCTGATCTGCCCAGTTTGGTTCTAGCCCCGTGAATCATCATGTATCTTTTCCTTTGTAGCACCTATCAGAATTGCCACCCACATTTATCATTTGATTAAGGTCTCCTCTCCTTATCAGTCGGTAAGAACCGTAAACTCAGGAATCCTCCCTGTTTTGTTCTCTACAACATCCCTAGCACCAAGCAGTGCCTGTGAATAAATGCAACTAAAAGAACAAATAACTACAAAGAGCCCAATGCCCAGAGCAGCATTAGTGATGTTAGAAGGAACAGGTAAGAATAGAGTGAGGAGAATAGTGAAGTGCTGACATTTGCTGACCATGCTTATTTACTAAAATAAGCTTTAGGAAAAAACAAAGGGGATTTGCAAACCTAGGAGAAGTAAAAGCATGTTACATATCACATGGCTTAACTAAGCTGAAGACTAGGTAATCTCAAAATAGAATATATGCTTGGGATGCTGAGCTAAGGAGAAGCATGTGGCCGAAACAGTGGGGAAGGGAGTCAAGGGGCGAGACAGGGGAAGGCACACTGCTGACCACCTATTCTTCTTAGCAGCCATCAGAAACTCCCCACGCCTTCACTGCAGGTCGTGAAGAGAATGACCTTCGCCAGCCCTCAACTTGTTGAAGGGTCCCTACAGCGCACCTCCAATGTCTTACTATGGTGCACATTGGCTATTTTTAAACTTGCTGTATGGGGCCAAATAATTGTGGACGAATGTAGGATGTGAGCGGATGTACTTTGGGGAAGCCTAAATAGAAAGGGAGAAAAACGACCTGAGGGTTTCTGTGGGCAGCACAGCATCGACAGCTGCTTCCATTAAAAAGGCAACTACGTGAGGTAATAAAAGACACGGATCACTTTCCAACTGCAGCCTGTCAATCTTAGCATCAGTCATTCTTAGTGAGAAATCAGGCTGCTTCTACAAGTATTTACCGCTTGCCTCCTGGATTCTTAGCAGGATAGTGGGTGATGTGGGAAAGACAGGGGAGGGGGGGACTGCCTATAAAAAGCTCACCATGTCATTAAGAAAATAAGAGCTTATAAAACAGTTAAATAACAACAGAAGGCACTATGTAATTAAATCCAAAATAAATAGTACTGGAGGTCAGAATAAAGTCAGTACATTCTCCATCATTTTGCAAAGGTAAACTGAGGCAATATGACAATAAGGACAGCATATGCATTGAGTCTGGGATCAGAAAGAAGAGGGTGGGCAGATGGGGTGCATGTTGAGTTTGGGTACCATTCCTTTCTGGCTGCAGAATCCCAAGAAAGTTGCCTATCTTTTTGGACCCTAAGTTTTCTCATTTATAATGAGATAAAGATATTATAAGTCCCAGCATTTTGTGGTACTTAGATAACGGATGTATGTTATAAAGTGTACTACAAAGTAAATGTTATTACTAATCTACATAACCAAAAAATAAATAAATAAAAGGGCAGGAAGGCCAAAATGTAAATCACTTGAATTTTAGGTTTAAATTGCACTGTTTCCAAACACAGTTATGGAACCACTGTAAGACATGGTTAGGTAGTTCTAAAATATAAATCCTTGATCTTACGCAACTTTTTAAGTCAGCATGCAATTTAGCAGGCCTTTGGGCCTACTGTTTATCCAGATTTTTAGTCTAGGGCACAGATGGCAGTAAGTTATTCAGTGAAATAGGAAGGAAGACCGTTACTAGATGAGACAAGAACTCATTTAACCATGTCACAAAGAGTTCAGCCTCTCACAATATGGCCCATCAAGGGAGATGAGTTACAATGCTTTCCAAAAATGCAAAGAGAGCAAGGGAGGCTAGAATTAAACTAAAAAGTTATAAGTGAAAAAGTTATAGCCCCATGAATCATCATGTATCTTTTCCTTTGTAGCACCTATCAGAATTGCCACCCACAGTGGCAGAATTGCCACTGAATGTGGCAAAAAGTAGGAGACAATTTATCATAAAGGATCACAGGCTACGAGAATTTGAATAGCCTCTATTTGTAAATTATTTTGTAAATGTACTATTTCCAAATCTTAAGTATTAAGCACAAGGATCAAGCCCTCTGATAAACTAATGACCACTGGGCAATAATGAAAAATAAAGTAGTGGTACCAAATTATCACACATTTAAAAGAGTAACTTCAATAAGCCAAGTCCGGTACTCTAGGAAGAAGGATTACTTAAATCAGATGACTTCCAAATCCAGTCATATTCATTATGTTAACCTCAGCCATGGCATTTAAACTCTCCAAATGTCAGTCATTTTCAGCTATAAATAGGAATAAGAATACCTATATAAGCTACTTCTCAGGGCTTAGAAATGATTAAGTGCTTATTTAAATGTAGCTTTAGTATTAATATAAAGAAGATAATATTATTTCTCAAGATCACAGGATCTACTTATTGCTTAGTGTTTGTGGTAGACTGAAAAAGAAAATGGCCATGATATGTGTCCCACCTGCATCAAGAGGTGGAGTCCATTTCTCTTCTCCTTGAACCTGGGCTTAGCCACATGTCTTGCTTTGGTCAAGGGGACATTAGCAAATCGGATGAAGAAGCAGAGGCCCGAAAAGCACTTATGCCTTGAGACTGGCCCTCTCCTACTGCTTGCCAGAGAACCAACCCTTCAACCCCCATGTGAGAAACCGGGATTGACCTTCTAGAAGATGAGAAATCATGGGAAGATAGGCAGTTTTCAAATGCAAGGAAATAGATAATTCCAGTTAATGCTTTTAAGCCACTGACCACCTCTGATGGCAACATGATTGTCATCATGTGGTCATAAAACATAGCCAAAGCCAAAACCTCATGTAATGTTTACTGTGTACCAGGAGGTATGTATGAACTATCTTATTGAGCACTCAGAACAGCTATGAAGCTGGATCCTATTTTACAAACGAGTAAAATGAGTCTCAGAGAAGTTAAGTAACTTTCCCAAGTTCACTCATACTTTAAATGTTAAACCTCAGATTCAAGACCAGATTTCTCTGACTCCAAAGCCAGTATTCTTAATTCTTTACAGAAAACTACTAGTCAGATGAAGGGCAATTATCCATGGTGTCCAAAACCAAAGTCGTTAATCGGAAGCGTTTAAGAGCATCTTAAGCCAGGGCAGAAGAGAACCCTGACTTTGGTCTTCCAATTAAAGGAGCTTGTTAGCATACAATAATATTTGCTTATGATTGATTTCAAGGAATAAAGAAGGGATTTTAAGTTGCATATTTATTACACAGGGGAACACACTTTAAGTGCCTATGATATGCTAGCATTTAAAAATGGAATAAAACATTTAATATTAGTTATATGCTCTGTAATAAAGTCTGCCCAACATTTAACTCTCAATCCGTGGCAGAGGAATGAAACTATGCAATTCCTACAGCAAGTCTAAGAGACTAGTCAGGAAGAAGTCTAGAGAGAAGTATAAGGTGTATAGATTCATAAATGCCACTATCCCATAGATGTGTGGACACTGGCTAGAACCATCTCTGCTCCCGCTCATCTGCACTGCTTTCACAGCAGCTGTTGCCATTAAGCAGGTGTTTGTGTTATCTGTCATTCTCACCTTCAGCATTGACTGAATGTGGCAAAAAGTAGGAGACACTTTATCATTAAAGGATCACAGGCTACGAGAATTTGAAGGGATCGTCACTATGATATAGAATGTGGTTTTTAAAAAGCTTCTGAAATAATTTGTAATAGTGAAATCCCTCCCTGCAATAGAAGTTTTTTTCAGGATGCAAATATATAGCTGACAAAAACTAAATTTTTAAAATCAGTAAACATTTATTTGTTTAAAGCAATATCTACTTATACAATTAGTCAATGACAAGAAGTTGTTCTAGTGAATACAAAATTAGAAAGAAATTTAAAGTTATACATCAACTCTAATATCTTATTAATTTTCATTTTTCTTTCAGTTCTATAGGATGGAGAAAAATCTGCATTTCCTAAGATAAATAGTTGAAATAGTTAAGAGCATGCCTTGAAATTTTAGTAGGATCTTCACAATCAATGCCATTCTGCACATGAATAGGGTAACCTAGCAGCACAAATTAACAGGCTGGCGTTTTCCAGTGTGTTCAAAGTTGGTGTATAACATACAGTTTGAGGTCTGCTTTTTAAATCACAGTTTATTATATGTTAAAATATATTTAAAATTAAATGAGAATTAAACATGTAAATCACCTAAAATTATCTCAGGGTCAAGTTATGCAGCTTTGGGTCTGTTTCCTTAAATCGATTACATCTAACAGACTGTAATAAATTAGATTGTAATAAATAATTACAATAGATTGTAATAAATAATTAGATGTAATAAATCTATTACATCAAATAGTTTTAAGGAAACAGACCCAGAGTCATCCAACGAGTTGTCTAAGTCCCTACCTCTTCATTTTAGCATTGATAGGACTTTGCCAGGACATTCTGCAGGCAGCACCTGGATTTGCTGTATATGTTAACTCTAAGTTAAATTAATTCATTCAAGAATGATTTACTCAACCCAGCAAACCCATTACTAGGTATATATCCAAAAGCAAACAAATCATTCTGCCAAAAAAATACTTGCACTCACATGTTCACCGCAGCACTATTCACAATAGCAAAGACATGGAATCAACCTTGGTACCCATCAATGGTGGACTGGGTAAAGAAAATATGGTATGCATACACCATGCAATACTATGCAGCCATAAAAATGAATGGAATCATGTCCTTTTCAGTAACATGGTTGAGCTAGAGGCTATTATCCTAAAGAAATTAATGCAAAAACAGGAAACAAAATCCTGCATGTTCTCACTTATGAATGGGTGCTAAGCATTGGGTACAGATGGACATAAAGATGAGAACAATAGACACTGGGACTACTAGACTGGGGAGAGAAGTGGACAAGAGTTAAAACTGACTGTTAGGTACTATGGTCAGTACCTGGGTGACAGAATCATTTGTCACAAACCTCAACATCACACAACATACCCAAGCATCAAACCTGCACATGTACCTCCTGAGTCTAAAATAACAGTTGCAAAAAAAAAGTAAAGAAGAAAAAAGAATTATTTACTAAGTGCCTACTATATTCCAGTCATAATTGTAAATGTCAATAATATAATCATACTACAATAGGCATAACAGATTCAAGTTCTGCTACAATGAAGCTTACTACAGTTTAGTGGAAGACACAGATATGAATCAAAGAATGAGATATATGCAAAATTACGACCATGAGAAGTATGTGGTAGCTGATCTAATTAACCTCAAGAAACCTAAGTTTAAGCTGAGTTTTTAAGGCTAGGTGAAAGTTACCCAATTGGGAAGAAAAAAAGAGAAAATGTGATGTAGTGTGATTGGGATAGAAACATTTTCCTGGCAGAGAAAGTGTTTGCCAAGGTCGTGTGGCTGGAGAGGATGTAGCATGTGGTCTACTTTGGAGGCTTTTGGTGCCATAAAGAGAAAAATAAAAATTGTCTGCAAAAGACCTGGTAATAATAACAACAATAGGCACAGAATACCGTGTTCTACATATTGTTCTGAAACCCTTTATAAATAATGATTAATATATTTACATCTCACACTAACTTTGTGAGAGAAGTGGCATTATCCACATTTATAGATGTAGAATAAAGAACATTAAGCAATATGTCCAGGGTCAGAGAGCCATGAAGTGTCAGAACTAGGATATTCCACGAGACTGACACTGTGCAGGGCTCTTCTTTGCCAGTAGGCTAACCTGCTTTCTCTTACAATGAAGTGGAGTTCCCTAAAGGGGTAGATAACAAAAGGTTGACATATGTCTTTCTCATACCCAAGCCTGCACTGAGGCATGACTCCCAAGAAAACCACGAATTAACAAGACCCAAACTCAAGTAACCCAGAAGTAAACAAGTTTTAAACCTAGCAATAATGTCACTCATGTGGCTAAAGTCTACCATAAATGGCGTGGCTTATATCTTCAAGGATCCTAGATTTACAATTCAGGTAACAGCCCACAGGAATTGGAATGAGTTTTTTTTTTTTTTTCTGATAGTATAAACAGTGTACTTTATAATGTTCCCCCCTTTTGGCTTTGGTTATTGGGAAAAATAACTAGCAAGTTCTCTGTGGCCCTGTAATTTCAATTTGCTTTTCCTTCAACTGGCTTTCTAATCTTAATATTGTTTTTATATTTATTTTTACATAAATATGCATTTATACTCTACATAGATTTTTACATTGTATACACTATATATGCATTATATATTATATACATGTATTATATGCATATCATTTACATATTATATATTAAATACATATTTTTATATATTATAAATATATATTTGATATATATTACATATATTTAATATAAATATATTTTATTTTTATATATTATATATTTACATATTTATATTAAATATATATTTTTATATGTTTTATATATATTTAATATATAATAAATATTAAATATTTATATTTATATTTATATTAAATTATTACATATTAATATATAAAATATTACTATATTAGTGTATTAATTATATTAAATTATATTTAATATAATATATTAAATATATAAATATATATTTTATATAAATATATAATTATAAATATATATTTTATATAAATATATAATTATAAATATATATTATAAAATATATAATACATATTCATATAATCATTCAATAATCATTTACTCAACCCAGCAAACCCATTACTAAATTATATATATTATTATAATTATATGTAATATATAATTTAGTAATAATTATAATATATATTATATATAATGATATATATCATTTTATATATATAATGATGTGTATATATATAATGATATATATCATTTTATATATAATGATGTGTATATATATATAATGATATACATATAATACACATATATAACACATAATGCAGCACCTACTAGGTGCCAGTGCCAGTGCCAGGTTCAACCTTAGCAAGCTCTGCATGGGGTGCAAAGATGGATAATGCACAGTTCCTGTCCCTGGCCTTGAAAGCTTATTAAAGTCAGTAGGCTTCAAATGAGAAAGAACTTTTAATGAAGGAAAAATAAAAGTGGGTGAAGGATATGAACAGACACTTCTCAAAAGAAGACATTTATGCAACCAACAGACATATGAATAAATGCTCATCATCACTGGTCATTAGAGAAATGCAAATCAAAACCACAATGAGATACCATCTCATGCCAGTTAGCATGACGATCATTAAAAAGTCAGGAAACAATAGATGCTGGAGAGGATGTGGAGAAACAAGAAAGCTTTTACACTGTTGGTGGGAGTGTAAATTAGTTTGACCGTTGTGGAAGACAGTGTGGCAATTCCTCAAGGATCTAGAACTAGAAATACCATTTGACCCAGCAATCCCATTACTGGGTATATACCCAAAGGATTATAAATCATTCTACTGTAAAGACACATGCACATGTATGTTTATTGTGGCACTGTTCATAATAGCAAAGACTTGGAGCCAACCCAAATGCCCATCAATGATAGACTGGATAAAGAAAATGTGGCACATATACACCATGGAATGCTACACAGCCATAAGAAAGGATGAGTTCATGTCCTTTGCAGGGACATGGGTGAAGCTGGAAACCATCATTCTCAGCAAACTAACACAAGAACAGAAAACCAAACACTGCATGATCTCACTCATAAGCGGGAGTTGAACAATGAGAACGCAAGGACACAGGGAGGAGAATATCACACAATGGGGCCTGTCGTGGGGTGGCGGGCAAGGGGAGGGAGAGCATTAGGAGAAACACCTAATGTAGATGACAGGTTGATGGGTGCAGCAAACCACCATGGCACGTGTATACCTATGTAGCAAACCTGCATGTTCTGCACATGTACCCCAGAACTTAAAGTATAATGAAAAATAAATGAATAAAAATAAAAGCTGAACTTCCCAAGTCATTAAATAGAAATTCAAAATACTGATGAGGAAGTCAAATCAAAGAAGAGCAACAGAGCTCAACAAGAGAAGACCTAGTGAAGTCAAAAGAGGGGAATGAATATGAGGTGGGAAGTGTTGGCAGCATAAAGGAAAGGACGGACCTGCAGAAGGAGACCTTGTGTTCCACTACTGAGGAACTTGATTGGAAATCATGCTTTGAACAGCCCCGTCAGTGATTCCAAGCACCCCAGTTTCTGTATGCCAATTTTGTCATCTACAGGCATCTCCACCCCACTAGGGGGCTAAGGGAATTAATTATAATTTTGATCAAGTGCTTTGAGGTACACAAATAAAAGGACCAGTGAATATAAACTATTATGATGTAAAAAATATTTTTAAAAACTATTGCTCACCTTTATTAGTTTGGAGGTATAGACAGTAGCCCCCAGGCCTATTTTTTGCACTTAAGCAATGTATCTAACATGTGAGCATACACATACAACAAGCCCAACATCCAGGCCATACACACAGCATGCATGAACATGCGCAGAGACCCAGACACACATAAGCCACCAAAAGGGTCTAATCTGTATGCAAGAAGAGGACAGATGCTAAAGTGTGCATGGAGTGGGCAGCTCAGTTGTTCATTTTTAGAACCCTAGAAGCTTTCCAAGTTCTACATGCTGTATAGCATACAGAATTGAAGCACTGAAAATAGCCCCAAAGGTGGAGGGTATTAGGAAGACAAAAAAAGCCATTTGTTTATCTTTTCTCTGTTGAAAGTTTTGACCATGTGCTTGATCAGACTGTTCTGTCTGCTAAAGACATCTACATAAATGGCTCCAAAGTAAAAGTCCCAAAGAGCTGTCCAGAGGGCCTCTGTGGCAAAGGAGCTTCAGATGGGAATCCCCAAGCTTTGCTGACATCACCTGAAGGTCAAGCTCCCAAATCTGGAGGTGCACCTCCCCTACCCCTTCACTTGGCTAACGAAGGTCTACTCGTCCTGTAGATCTCACATAGCTGTCACTTTCTCAGAAATCATTTATTGGCCACCCAGCTAGGTCAGTTTCTTCTTAAATTCTCTCTTCATACTCTGTACACTGCTTGGAAGTTAATCAGAATTGTGACTGCTATTGTTTAACTGCTAAATGTCTTGTACTAAAATATAAGATTCCAGAAGATAGTGCCCATGTCTGTCTTGTTCACTGGATGACTCCGTAGCACAGTGCACTCATTCATTCTCAAGTAAATGAATGAATGAAATCTTGTGATTTCAGCCTTCAGCCTCTGGAATCTAGCTTCACTTTCTTTCCTGGATCCTGCTCTAGTAAGCCATTTTTTTTCAGCTACATACTATTCAGGGTAAGGCTAACAACTCTGTAATTGAGGTGGTAAAGATAGGGTGAGTGCAAACTATTTACCCATATCAGCAATTAACTAACACAAATTGGCACGTAGTTCACAGATCAGGCTGTCATCAAAATATACAACTACAGGATTTTAATGCACACTAAAATCTTTTCATTCCTATTGTCTGTCTTATTCAGTGATTCAATGTACCTTACTGGCACTAACCATTAAAATCATGTATTGAGGACCTATTATGTGTCAGGTACAAGATATATCCCATTTAAGTCCCAAAACAAGCTTGCAACATTAACCAATAAGAAAACTGTGGCTCAGAAAAGTTAAAATTTGCCCAAGGTCACAATCAGTAAGGAGATGAGTGGAATATAAGCCCAGCTCTCTCTGAATCTGAAGGCCATGCTCTGGCAATACTCTCTCATTTCTCATCCTATAATAAGATGTCTGTGGAGAGTGTGGGTATGCCCTGACTGGCTCGATTTGAATTCCAACCCTGCCATTTACTATCCATGAGGCTTGGGCAAGTTTCTTGGGCTCTCTGCTGTCAATTCCTTTGTAAAATAGATATACCAGCAGTATTCTCCTAATGGACGTTGTTTTAAGGATTAAATGAGTACTAAGTACTCATTTAAGTACTAAGTACAATGCTTGGGACATGATAAACAATCAGTATTAGCCCCTTTTTGGCCTGTGCCTATCGTCATTATTATTATTAACAATATTATGTGCATACTATTAATTATGCCACTGAACTGCCTCCCTTTGGGATGAAAGAACCAAATGTACTTGGAACAATGTGTCCACCTTACTCTTCCAAACAACCCAAGATGAAAAGATTTTTCTTTTCTTTTTGTGCAATTTCAGCAAGCATTCACTGAGCCCTTTAATAATGGGCAAAACAGTCTACTACTGGGAGAAGACCACTTCCTTACTCTTCAGAAAGAGATGGAGGCTGGTCATAAGCTTCACCTACAGAAATTCAGTAAGACAGAAATAGGAATTCAGTGAAGCAGAGCTTAGCATGGATCCTCCTAGTAGGCAATCCTACGGTGTTACTCTCCTGTTCAACTTCTGGCTCTTGCATTGGCTCTAGTAGTAGTTTGAGGAAAGGAGCCAGGACTTACGGTCTCCCACCCTTGGTTTAAAAAAAGAAAAGAAAAGAAAAGAAAACCTGCTTACATTTCTTTTATGTATTGGGTTTTTCTCTAAGTCTATTTGATCAAAGTGTTCTACTGAGAAAACTAAAAATTAAAAACCTTGTAAACTCCTTGTCACAGTATTAAATTCCTTCATGACCTGGCCCCTCCTAATGTGTCTAGATTCATCTTGTATCAACGCCTTCTTGGCACTTTTAACCTCGAAACTAAGCTATGTGCAGTTTCCAGAACATGCCCTCTCAGCCTCATGCCTTGGCACCGGCTGTATTCTTGGCTGGAATGTCCTCACCTGACTGTCCTCCTGGGCTTCCTCAGTGAGGACTGTCTCCTCACAGTTCCGACAAACTTTACAAGTAACGTTATTTACACATTCTACAGCCTTGTTATAAAGTGTATAAGCTTTATTTATAAATATTTAGGGCAAGGTTGTGTTACTGTGAGCAGGCAAAAGACCATTTTTTTCATCTTTAAATTTCCAGTGCCTATCATAAAGTAGATTTTAGTAAATGTTTGTTGAATAAATCAATGAAAAAAGAATCACATGAAATTAAACACTACATGAATTGAAGACTGAAAACAATGTGGTTAAGAGGATAGACTTAAAGGATGGGGTTACATTGCTCAGGCTGAAATATTCACTCCTTCCTTTGGCAGCCATGTTACATTGAGCAAGATACTTAAAATGCCTGGCTTTCACATCCTAAAATGGGGCTAATCATGGAACCTGCTTGGTTAGCTGCTGAAAGGATCAAATGAATTAATATATAGAAAGTATTTTAAAGAGTTCTGGCACGTAGTAATCACTCACTTAGTGTTAGCTACCATTATTATTCTTTTTGATAGGAATATAAAAAATGTAATTAGAGAAACACTTTACTTAAGGACCAAATCAGTTTTGAACACACTCACTATAATATATGATATTATAGTCATAGAATTCTCCTGTTTTTGCCCACCCAGCATCTTTCCCACTCT
Organism: Homo sapiens; assembly: GCF_000001405.40. NCBI lineage: Eukaryota > Metazoa > Chordata > Mammalia > Primates > Hominidae > Homo > Homo sapiens. Next base: position 171,223,912 of record NC_000003.12, read on the forward strand.
TTTCTATAATAACTCTCAGGTTTTTCTTTGAGAAATCAACTCTCTCCAACTCTCAGTCCCTGCGGTAGGTTCCAGAGCCAGGCATCCAGCCCAGGCGTGGACTGGAGAGTAAGGAATTGGCCCAGGGATGGGGACATGGTCCAAGCTGGACCACTGATATTCAGACTGGCACCTTTGCTGGGACCAATGGCAATGAGGTAGTGAAAACATGAGCCTGCAGCTGCTGCTGGGACGAAAGCAGAGCCCACAGATGGAGAGAGACAAAATCCTGATCATGTTAGGTGACTTCTCTGCATCCTGCTGAGGTTTTTGTTGTTTTAATTCATACAAGCTAGTAAATTCCCTTTTCAGCTTCATTCAGTTTGAGTGGCGGTTTGGTACTACAACCCCAAATGTCCTGAGTAGTGTAATCACAACCAGTCATTGTAAAGGCAAAAGCTTACAATATTAGTATTTCATTAAGTCCTATATGCACTTCAGGGTGTCACTGTAAAGGGACTACTTTACACTAGGAATTTTTATCCAAATGAAAATGGGGATTATTTACAGGGTTATCAAAAAAAAAACCCCACAAAAAACCATAGCTCCTTCACACTTGGTGGCCAGAAAGAAGTAAATACAAGACCCTAGAAAAGTGGTACTCTCATTTTGATGTGTGTGACACTCTGAGGAGTTTACAGAAAAGGCAGATTTTGAGGCTACCCCAGAAATCCTGCAGCAGGCCCAGGAATTTGCATTTCTCATGAGTACTTCAGAGGTGCTGACTGCCCACTGATGCTGATGGTCCACTTTAAGAAACACTACCTGGGAGGGTCCAGCTCCTCCTAGATGCCGTAGGTCAATCTAGAGCGCAAAAATCCAGCTGAGAGGTAAATCCCAGACTGTGACAAAATGGGGAAATTTCCATAATGATTTCAAACTATAAGATCTTCAAGGCCTACTCTGAGTTTAAGCACAAATTCTGAAGCAAATGTTGGCAAATTTGGAAGTGTTTCAGCTCTAAAAATGGAAGGATATAAGCATTATATCCAGTTCTCTCAATGGCTGTTTTATACCAAAAAGGAAGTGATATAGAATAAAAACAATAATTTAAAAATTGATGTCAAGCTTATGGCTTTATCAGTTTTATAACAATAAACTATAGTAACTTTGTAGTAGGTCATAGCATGTAATTAACAAAGACGACCTTTGAGAATTCATTTCAGTTTTTTAACAGAGCAACCATAATGAGTACAATTATAATAATTGGTAAGAAGCTTTTACAGCATTCTGTAATACACAATAGACAACATGGCAAAATAGAATAGACTGTCTTCTAAAGGCACCACGTGAGTTTCACAAAGGAAATCTTATGTTGACTGTGATGTGTAAGGGGGTGATACAAAAGTCTCTTGATGCCACATCAGACACCACAAAAATAAGAAAACCATTTCCTGATGTGCATCCATGTTTGCCTTCGTTAAAAGTCAGTGGTTAAATAATCATCAATGACATGACTGAATCACAGAAAAACTATCTAGCCCTCCTCAATAGGAGTTCCCCAAGAGAATTAAGCCTAAATACTATAAAGCATCCACTCTATGTAATGGATTGACACTCCTTTGCATGTAAAATGGCCTTACCTCTGTACCCTCCTTGGAAGAACTGAGAAGGCAGTCTCTCAAATCATCTTCTGTAGAGCTTAGATGCTTAATGAAACCCAGTTTAGAAAGACTAACTGACATTCCTTAAGCTGAAAATACATGTTCTGGGAAAAATAACTGTGTAACTTTTAATTCCAAGCAAGGTGGTCTAGCAATAGTGGTTCTTGAGTAGTTTCTGGTTCTACTTGTGAGGCTTTAAATTGTTCAGAGTCATACTTTGAACATCAACACACATTTTATGCCCCAAGATTAATGACATCAGTGGAACTCTCAACTGTAGTTCTTCAAAACCACACAATAGAATTTAATATACAGCATGAATGTCTTGGACTCCTTCCACAACCATTAATTGTTAAACTGCCAAGCTCATCTCATTATGCAGAGATCCTATTCAATCCAAGGAAAATACAGTAGTATGACTTCAGCTGAATTGCAAAACAAATTCTGATTTGTTCTGTGGTTGGAGCTTTGTAAAATGTTTACACGTTTATAATGGGTTTCTATGTAGAGACTGATAGTATCTGATTTTAATTTTTGTGTCAGATCCTGCTAATCGACCATTCCAGTATCCACTCTCCCTTCATTTCTGACTGATAGAATCTGGATTTTTAAGTAGACACATTAGTAGAATAAAAGACTACATTTTCTAGCTTCCCTTGCAGCTAGATACAGGCAATGAAAGCAGAAGTAAGTAGTAATGTTGTATGGAAGTAGAAAATATTTCACTGGAAGGGGCTCATTTGTACCCTTCTGCTCCCCCTGCTCTCCCTTTTTTGCCTGCCATAAAGTGTGATCAGTGGAAATCCAATAAATATTTTGAACCATAAAGCAACCTTAACTGTGGAGGCCATGCATTAGAATGATGGAGCAGAAAGATAAAAACATCCTTCACTCTACCATATCACTGACATACATCCCTAGGCTGTCCACCTTTACACTCCTTTAACATGAGAGCAAGACACTTCTATTATGCTTAATCCTCTGTTATTTAGCGTTTTCTTAAACTGAATTAATATAAGGCACATACAGTTTATTATTCAGTAAAGGCCAGGTGAATTAATAAACTAATTGGGACTAAAAATTTGAACTTTTGTAATACCTAAAACTTAAATAATATATTTAAGACAAATAAAAAGAATTAGTACTTTATCTAAATGGTAACAAAAATACAGGAACAAAATATTTTACTGGTCAAAAATATATACAACTTAAAGAGGAATTTAGATCAATAATAAGTCAGTACAATGTGTGGTGTAAACAATAATTAGTGAAACGTGTATTATGGTAGGTAACTATCACATAACATATACTTATCTAAGGTAACAAAGTGAGCCCAAAAGGTATGGGTTGAAGTTTGACATACAGACATACTGTGTGTCTTTCTTATTTATTTATTTTTTTCTTATTTGTTTTTCTTATTTTCTTTTGTGTGACTCATTCATTCTATGTCTATTTATATTGAATAATCAACTTCTGGGCTGAATGGAAGACTTTGGTCTTTTAGCTTTCATGTACAGCAGACAGACATCTTAGAAAAATCCCCAGGACAACAGAAAATTATTAACATGCCTTTGATGTCCAGTGAATCCTTTCGAGTCAGATTTTTGCTGTGTACTCTTGAAAAGGCATTAAAATATTTTAAGTAGGCTTAGCAAAAGGATCGAAAACATTAGATTGTATTTAAAATAAAATCTATTTCTTAGATTGCTTTTGATTATCCAGGCAGAAATTTTGTTTCATTGTTGCTCTATAATGATAAGAATTTGTGTTTATTGTGATTATTTGGTCAGTAATATTTTGTTTTGGGAAATATTCATGTTAAATATCCTACTAGGATCTTAGAGCCATCCAAGCTCCTGTCTACTCCAGTGGTAGGCAGACCTTTGGGAAAACAGTTAAGACTCATTTCTTCTGTATAATCTCAGTATTATTCATTTAATACCTTCACATCCTTGTTCTGCATTCATATGCAAATATCTGTGGTTGTGTTTATGTAAATTATTGGCAAACAGTATTCACTCTAACTACATAAGGCAGTGTGTAGGTATCAAATTTAATTAGAGTGATGTACCCATGATCTCTTCAGTCAGCTACTGCATACTCTTCCTTATGTTAGCCACAAGTGGGGAAAGATATTAGATATTTAGGGAGATTATTTTTCTAGAAAACAATTTTTTTCTATCATTAACTTCTCTATTACAAATATAGAGATGGTCCCTCATTTACAATGGTTCAACTTACGATTTTTTTTGACTAACAGTGGTGTGAAATCAACATGCATTTGGTAGAAATCATACTGCAAGTACCTGTACAACCATTCTGTTTTTCACTTTTGCTATAGTAATCAACAAATTACATGAGATAGTCAACATTTTATTATAAAATAGGCTTTGTGATAAATGACTTTGCCCAACTGTAGGCTAACGTAAGTGTTCTGAGCATGTTTAAGGTAGGCTAGGCTAAGCTATGATGTTCAACAGGTTATGTGTATTAAATGCATTTTCAACTTAACAATATTTTCTACTTATGATGGGCCTATCAGGATGTGAACTCATCATAAGTCAAGGAGCATCTGCATGGCTATTGAGATGGCAAAATAAAGACACTTACCCCTGTGACATCCATAACCTTGATGGCTGCAAGCTGGCCCGTTTTGACATGACGACCCTGTGAAGAAAAAATAATAACAAAAGATTTAGTTCTGATGATGAATAGTAGCATTCAATTCCAACAATAAAGAAAAATTGCTTGGATCAGTGCTGTACTATGTCAATGGGGGGAGAGAGAAAGACAGACACACACAGAAACACCATGTCTACTTAGTGTTTATTTTGTAAAACGTCCCCAGTCACTTTGTTTATTTTCACAGTGGGTGTCAAGTCAAATAAAAAATGCAATGTTGAACAATTTGGTTCTAACTCCTCTCCAAGGCATTTGACAAGAGCTTATATGAGAGGAGGATTTATGTCGAAGGGGAGCTAGGCCTGCGTGGAAGAATACACAAGTATCTCTCTGTTAGAAAACACTCGGTAGATGAAGAAACTTTGGTTTCTTTCATTCTTAAAATATCCTGTGATGGTTTTAACTGGATATGATTCTGCTATAATTCACCTGAGATTGTTCATTTATCTTTATCTTAAAAGGGAGCCTAAACTAAAACAGATAGCAATCAATCCAAATTTGTGATCAAGGAGACAGTGTTGAACATTAGGAACTGCTTCCCCAAGGTGGGCTCTTTTGGTCTTTAGAACCACAGTGAAGCAGCAACCACGTGGCAAAATCAGAAACGAGTAGGGAGCGCCAAGGGGGCACTCTCAGAAGAGAATTATTTTCTCTTTGTTTGCTCCTTGAGAAAACACAATGTCTACATGTGACTCTCAGACAACAGCAAAGATGGTCATACTCACTACTTTTACATGAATTTTATATATAGCTTCCAAAATACATTTTACTTATTGCTGCTATCAGGCAATAAAATATAGCTTCTAAGATCAGCTGGGTTCAAAACCTAGCTGCATGACCTTAGGCAAGCCCCTCAACCTTCCAAGCCTCAGTTTCCTCATCTCAAAAACTGAAATAATAATAATACCTAATGCATAGAATTGTAGTGAGAACGATATGAGATCATGTATACAAAGTACTTGACAGTGACATATGCAGATTAGCTGTCAGCAGATGCTGGCCGTAATTATGTATGGTCCTGTCTTCTGGTGAATTTTAAATGTTGTCTTCCCTACTGAACTGTATGTTTCATAAAGGCAAGGACCATGTCTCATCGATGTATTTCCAGTACCTGGAATAGTAAGGGCCTCCCCCATAGATGCTGTGGCATGTTTATGAATTAACAACAGATAAGGAGGCATGTATAATTGTGGTGTGGAAAAAGTGATTGGCCTAGTGTGATTCAGATTCAGTAGTTGAAGTTGGTGAAAATGTGCTAGTTTAGTTGGATCAAATTTTTTAAAAGTTGTGGTAGAAAACATTAGTGGGTCAATTTTGTAATTGAGACCACCTATATCTTTGTGTTCTTAAATCCTTTCCCTTTTTCTACTACTTTTCTCCCTTACTAACCTAATTTTCCCCACTCCTCTGGCCCTTTAACTTCTGCCCACTCTGCCTGTCCTCTTTCTTCTCACATATCTCAGCTTTAAAAATCTATTTACTCTGATTCTGATGGTGCTTCCTTCCGCTTTTGACCCCCATTCTGCTGCCCTTTTTTTCCTCCTCACTGGGGAAAGAGCACAAAGAAGGGGACAGTAGGTCAGTAATCCAATATGGTCACAGACACAGCCCCTCACACTTATTTCCACTTTCCTGAAATCGAGGGAGAGGATGGCGTGTTACCTTGTAAAGAGCCCTGGACCAGAATCCCAGAGGCCCAGTTCTTGTCCAGGCTCTGCCCATGACCACCGGCTGTGTCTGGGCCCTCATTTCCCCATCTACAAAACGTGGGGAGACTGGGCTCAGTGGTTAGTAGAGAGGGCAGTGAGTGGGTATCAGCACTACCAACTCTTTCCATCCCAAGCAGCATTTAGAAATTTAGTTTCCACAAGATTGATAGGGAGAGAAGTGCCACTGCTACAGAACCAGGAACACTAACTTTCTTGCAGAGCAGCAACGCTACCTTTCCTGCAAACCATGAGTCAATCTTGCACAAGGAAGAAGTAGCAACAGCGTCCTCTTTTGAGTCTGTGATGCCGTAATGATGACCCTTGCAAAGGAATCAACAGCTTTGTAACCAACAGTGGACTTTAAAGTAATGGCTATAAATCATGTCTTAAATAATGGCTGTTCATCTGCTAAAACACTGAAAGAGGGTAGGGGAAACGTAGGCAAATACAGAGGGTCTGTCTGATATTATATAGCTGATTTGCCTTGAAATTATTTTAATGGTACCTGTAACAGGATACAGACAAACCACTGGGCACGGCTTGCAGGGCCCTCCAAGAGCTGACCCCCTTTCTGCCATACCACCTTGGTAGGCTCCCACTTGCTCTTACTCTGTGGACCTTGAGAACAAACTGTTTGCGCTTCTGTAAATGTACTTTATTGTTTCTTGCCTCTCAGATGGTATGTTTTCTTGGTCTGGGATGCCCTTTGCCTTCTTGACTCCTCAGACAACTTACTCTCTCTTTCCAGATTCAATTACAGTACTCTGTCCTCTGATACCTCACTTGTCGATTCCTCGTCACCTCTGTCTATCAATGAACATGTCCCTGTGTGTATTATTCCAAGGACCTCAAAGGATTAATATCCCTCTCTCCCTCTCTGGTCTTCCTTCCTCTCTCCCTTCCTTCCCCTGTGGCTCCATTTGCAGCCCAACCTTTTCCCCAAATAAAACCTTAAGTGAACTCCCTTGGTTCAAGCAGGGACTTGACTGCCCAACTCTAGTCTGCTCTGCCTCCCGACTCCCCTCATTCCTGAGGGAGTCCCTGAGGCATGTCTGCCAGCATGCACTTTGAGAGACTTTGCAGTAGATTTTTAAGTCCTTAAGAAGCAGGAAATCCTCTTTGAGTGAATAATTTGTTACAAGGACACCTCAACACCTAGTTCTTCCCATCAGCAGCCTAGGGCTGAGCCAGCCCATGGTACTGGCTCAAGGCCAGAGATGAGGCGGGATAAAAGTGACGTGTGTTACATTTCGAACACAGGCAGTGGGCAGTTCTTGTTGGAATAAATAAGATATCAGCTCTTTTAAAAAACCTAGTATACTTGGCTTTTGTTGTTGCTACTGTTTTTTGTTTTGTTGTTGTTGTTGTTTTGTTTTTTTTTTTGTTTTTTTAAGTAGCCACTATGAAAATGATGGAAGGTAACACTGGAAAAGAAAACAACACTTTAAATTTTAAATTTCATTTCCCGGCTGAAACAGCAGTTCTCAGTGGGTCTGACAGCTAACTGAAAAATACACCTTGGGATGGCAGTTTGGGCTTACATGAGATCCTGGAGGTGGAACAATTAGCAGCCTCAGATCACTCCCAGGCAAAGGTATCCCCACGCGCTAGAGCAGGAAGGATGCTGAGCTGTCACATTTTGCTGATCAGGAAAGGGCCATGAAGGAACTTGCCCAGCATGAGCTGCCTTTTCTATCCCCAGAGAACATCAGGCCAAGTTATGATCCAGATTAAGGCAGACTTGGAGGGAATGGCAGGGAGTCAGCCGACCTAAAGCTCACTAGGAACCTGAGGCACAGTCATTGTAAGACAGTTTTTAAAGAGGTAACTTTATAAAATCAGAAATGAATTGAGTAGGAAGGGGCCCCTAAGAGCCTAACCCAATCCTCTCCTTTTAGAGATCAGGCCAAAACTTCACAGCTAAACTTAGGACACTTTCTCCTCCATCCCACTTCTACCATCCAGCTCCTAAATCACAAATTTCTATCGCCAAACTTTTAAAATAATTTTTAAAACAAACTTTTAATATTTTACTTAACTGGAACTAAATATCGAACCAGTCATCTTTGCTTCACATAGGATTTTTAATAATTTATTTTTTAAATTTGGGGGCAGTGCAACGAAGGGGATGTTATTGCAATAGAATTTTGAAGGGAAAATGTAACAGTACCCCAATTCTAATTTATTTTTCCTTATAAGAGAAATTTAAAATACAAATATAGACACCATCTAAATTTAGATCTAAAATACATGTTTCAAGCTGGTGCAGTGTTGCACGTCTGTACACCCAGCTACTTGGGAGGCTGAGGCAGAAGGATGGCTTGACTCCAGGAGTTCGAGGCTGGCCTGAGAAACACAGCAAGATCCCATCTCTAAAATGGACAAATGTATGAATGAAAAAAAAAAACCACATGTGCAACCAAGAACTAAAAATTAAATTCTGAAAAGAAAAAACTTCTAAAAGGAGATAAAAGAGTTTAAAAAAATTCTCCATGAAAATTAGAGAAAATGTCCTATCAGATTGCAGTTGCTGAGTCATTTTTTAATAAAAGGATGAACTGAATTATTTTTTTCCTACAGAAATAACCAATAATGGCAAAAGCTAGTGAACATGCTAAATCTAGAAAAGTAAAACTGATATTCTGATAGGACCCCAAGCCTAATGTCAGATAATGTCCTAAAGCATAAAAAGCCTATCCACCAGAAAGGAACAAGAAAGGCATCAAAACAAGGGAGGCAGAGCCTTGGGGTCACGGCTCAGCCTGGTCCTCAGACACACTTAAGAACCTACTCTGCTCCCCTCTTCCCTTCTTCTCCCTCACTTTTGAGGCAACAAACTATGCTGATCCTTGTTCTATGTAAAATAATTCAACATCGAGGTGAAATCCAAATCACTCAAGTACGATTAATACAATACCCTACTCCTTCAACTCCTCCCTAAAATGAATGCAAGAGAAAACAACAGTTTTGTTTTAACAGCCACATAAGCTTCACTTTTGTTATTGTTGTTATTTTCTAAGGAAGAGCAAGAGGGTTTTTGAGCTGCTAGCCTAAGGCTAGCCTGGAAGACAGAATACTTTCATTTCTAGGTCACCCACATACATTTATTTCTGGCAAAGCACTCAAGCAAACCATCTTTGTTGAAAATTCAGACATTCCCCCCACTGTCTTCATCCTCCTGCCAAAGGAAGCTCACACACAGGTAGAGAGTGGCTCATTCTCCTTCCTATCTACCTTAGATTTAATCTCCACTTTATTGAGGAAGTCGTCTTCAATTTCCTAATTGCAAATGAGTACTCCACCTTTGTGTTTCCACAGAATACTATCCCAACCCCACTGATCATAACCAGCACTGTGATTTTTTTTTCAAAACACGCATCACCAGAACCATGAAAATAAATCAAATCAAAATGGAAAAAAAAAGCAGAATGTAGAATATGTAGTAATGGCAGCTGTTGTTTTATGGCTCACCTGTTCTTATTCTATCTGTCTGTCTGTCTGTCTATCTATCTATCTATCATCTGTGTATCAATCATAGATGCTGCAGTGTGCCACCAAGATTCTCGAGTACAGACTGAAGTACCTGACAACTCTGTCAGGTCCCTCTCTGGGAATGGCCCTTAGCCAAAGAGCCACCTCACCCAAGGTCATGCTCCTTCCTGGAGAAAGGTGAAGGATGATGGCCACTTGGATTAGGATGGAAAGGGTGGAGAATGTGGGAATGGACAGGAGGCCAAATGAAGAGGACTTGGGAATAGATTGGATATGTATTTCCCTTGTGCCTTCATAGTGCTTGGCACAGCAGGCACTCAGCAAATATTTGCTGAAAAACAGACTGAATGAAGGCATGAAATTTGAGGGTTGCGTTTGGGTTCTTGGTACCATCCACATATCTACATCTGTTTCCCTTACCCCCACATTTCCCCAGCCACAGAGTGTATGGGACCAGATAGGGTGGGGTTGTAAGCAGGAATTATAATTATTTTGCTCATAAATAAAAACCTGGAAGATGATTTTAAGTGGATGAAGTTCTTTTAAACTCTACAGAGAGACCAGTTTACTTTCCCTTTCCATAGATCACAGAGAAACCAGAAATTGGTTTTAGCTTTACTTCTGAGCTGTCATGATGATGGCAAACATGAACTCTGGTTTTCCACTCCCATTTGAGACTAAAGGTTAGTTAATATCTATCTGGACATCTTTAGGAATGCTACCTTTCCTTGATACAACATGTCTTGAGGCAAAGAGGTAGACAAGACAACTTTATGAAAAGACTCCAAAGATCCTTATGATCAAGTAACATGAATGTTCACAGAGCATACTTGGCATGATGTCCATTCCTAAGTCTTCCCCAGGTTAAATGGAGCCTTTGTGTTTCCTTGGCCTACATGTGCCATTCGTTGGTGGCTTAAAAACCCTGCTCTCCATATGTGCAGAACTGTAATTCAGACTTTATGGCTCCCAGACTTGTGGCAGAGGTAAAGCAAGGTACCGACTCAGGATGGTGCCCAAGCAATTACTCTCCATCTCAACACCACTCACTGTGAATTCCTTTGCTTGGCACCTCTGAGTGACAGAAAATGGATTGCTTTCAAGACTGTTCAGGGGTGGGCCAACTGAAAGCTGAGACTTGCTCACAGACATGAAGTGGGGAAGAAGAGACTGGGTTTCATTTTTCTTTGTTAGAAACTAGGATTCTTCAGTCTTCCTGGCTGCCAGCTTGGCTCAGTTTATAAATCAAAATGGATGCTTAAAGGGAAAAAAATCAAATAGTCACAATTTTTAGCAGACAATAGTTAATGTATGCAGATTCCGTGGCAGGGAGCCTAATGCCTGTACCCAGGAAAGACACGCACAGCTGAAGTGACAGCAGTGACGAGGCAGACAAGATGAGGGGTGACGAGAACTCAAAAGCAGACGAGCCAGCCTCTGGGCCAGGGCCTTGCGCCAAGAACACACTTCCCAGTAACCTCCTCTCAACCCAAAAAATGAGCACAAAACCAAAGCTCTCACTGGCTCTCATCTAATTTATACCACAGAATTACCACAATCATCTGTGGCTTTTTAAAAATTTTTTATTTGTTTATTTATTCATTTATTTATTTATTTATTTTGAGACGGAGTCTCACTCTGTTGCCCAGGCTGGAGTACAGTGGCGCTGTCTCGGCCCACTGCAATCTCCACCTCCTGGGTTCAAGTGATTCTCCTGCCTCAGCCTCCCAAGTAGCTGGGATTACTGGTTCCCACTACCATGCCCAGCTAATTTTTGTAGTTTTAGTAGAGCCAGGGTTTCGCCATGTTGGCCAGGCTGGTCTTGAACTCTTGACCTCAAGTGATCTGCCCACCTTGGCTTCCCAAAGTGCTGGGATTACAGGCATGAGTCACCACGCCCAATCTCATCTGTGGCTTTCATACATTCATTTCTGGGAGGACTAACCCCCCTAGGTGTGGGGGCTCAAAAGATGGCGACAAAGTATGTACATGCAGCCAACTCTTCAGCCTCTCCAAATATCCCACTCCTCCCCACACAGCACAATAGCCTTCCCTATCCCCTGAACCAAGAATGGCACCTGGGGCTATAAACATCATTCAAAACCCTGGTACCTGAACACTAGTCCAAGGTAAAGTTTACATACAACTCCAGTAAAAGGTGAAAAATAAGGACCCAGTGGTGATTTTTTCAGAAAACAAGAGGTATTCAACTTAAGCAGGATTCTTATTTTTGGTGTTAAAATGCCCATTAATGAAATGTTTTTAACTTTTAAAAGTTAACAACCATATGTTTTTGTTGTTGTTGTTGTTTTTGTTTTGTTTTGTTTTGGTGGGGGGGGGGTTTATAGAGTGAGATTTTAGTATTCCATGAAATCTGAGAATCCAGGAAAAAGTATTTTTACATACATGAACTTAGTAGAAGGGTCAATAACCCTCTGAAGACACAAAAAAGGTTCTTGATGCAACCTGGAAAAAGTTAAATGTGAGGGTGTATAGCCCTTAATAACTTAAAATAGCCTGTGTGAATTGTATTGGAACCCACTTCTCTCTCCTCTGGGTGCCCTAAGTCCCTAATGCCCTTAAAACGCAGTCCTCCAGGCACATGGCTGCTACATACTAGAACAGAAAGCCCCTCAAAGGCAGGAACTCCACCTTAAACCTGTTTAATCCTCTAACATTGCCTGGGACAGCGTCTTGTAAAGGGTAGGTGCCAAATCACACTGGAAAACATCAAGTTTCTAGGCCTAGTGAACCTTGTAAATTGCCACAAATCACAATGAACAGAGATTCCTGTGATCCATCAGGGGCTACACCTGGGAGAATCTTGATAGAATTTGGGGAAATGTCTACTTCCGCGTGTCAGAAGCTTAAGAAAAAAGAGGACCATAAGAATGGCTTACGGTGTCCTAACTGGAGGGGAAAGCTATGTGATCTGATGTGAGTGTTTTGCTCAACAAGGTTCTGTTTTTGTTTTCTTTTCCAAGTGTTAACTAAGAAAACTAGGTCACTGAAATAGGCCCTGGAGGCTCACTAGAGACATTAGCATTCTGCATGTCATAATCAACAGCTTACCAGAGGAAAGGGTCAGGGAGAGAAAGATGCATCAAGAGAAAAGCAAGGTCCAGACGCTGCCCTGCCAACATCCTTTCACCTCTGCCTCCTCTTTTCCCGAGCTGGTACTAACTAGAGGTAGGACGATGCAACTGTTCTTGGAGAAACAGGGTTCATTTTTAAAGATTTCAAATCAATAGCTCCCTCTCTAAGGACTACTTTATGAGGCAACTCTGTCTTTCCCCTCAGGACCTCTGGCAGACTCTTTGCTCACTCCATCCCACCTCCTAGCTGCAGATAAAGAAGATATATTACATCCTCTCCCCTGGCCCTGCACAGGGTTGCCAAATGCAGCCCGAAGCTGGCCCCTATTGTCTGAGATTTACAACCAGGTGATTGGGAGTGGGCAGGGTTGGCTTTGGACCACAGACACGATAGGCTGGGGGTTGGGGGAAATAGATGATAATAATAATAAAAAGGCAATGCTGCATTTCATTTTGCCTAATGTATGGCTTCAATAGGAAGCCAGTCCACCCACAGTCCTGTCTCATTCACTTAATAGACTTCTGCAGCAGCAGCAGGAGCAGTCTCCTGTTCAGAAAGAAAAAGGACCACACTGGTGTCATGAGAAAAAACAAAGGCAAAGGACCACAGTGTTCCCAGCTATCATTCTTGGGGTGGCAGTAACACAAATCGGGACCCATTTGGCTCTTTATTTGGGCTGTTGATGAATAAACCCTCTCCCACGGTGTCCTCAAACCTCCAGCAGTTTTAATTAAAACAAAAGAAATGTCAGCAGGGAAAAGACTGGAATATAATTAGGGCCCACCAAATCTAAAGTAATATGGGGGAAAAAGACTAGTAATGAAAGGGAAGCTTTCAGGTTCTTACTGAATCCCCGCTCTGTTACTGACACAAAAATCAATTTCAATAGGCTTTAGTTGTATCTGAACGGGAACACAGTGACAGATGAAATTTAGTGAGCAACTTACTGGAGTCATAATGATTCCCACGGAAAAAAAAAAAAAGACTACAATGAGCACTCCCAGCCAAATGTCTCCTCTGTAAGAATGTGTATGTTTATTATACATACACATAACATGTATGTTGGTAAAATTATATCTAAAACTTATATACCTAAAACATATATAGGCTGAGTGTGGTGGCTCATGCCTATAATTCTAGTGCTTTGAGAGGCCAAGGCAGGAGGATCACTTGCAGCCAGGAACTCGAGACCAGCCTGAGCAATATAGTGAGACCCCGTCTCTATAAAAAATCTAAAAATTAGCCAGACCTAGTGGCATGCACCTGTAGTCCCAGCTACTCTGCCGAGGTGGGAGGATCACTTGAGCCCAGGAGTTTGAGGCTGCAGTATGCTCTTGTATGTACTTGCACTCCTTTTAAACTTAAACTAGATCTACCTAGAAGTAAACCTACCATCCCCATTGACGTCATCTGACTGGAGACAGCAACATTCTTTAACAGTCCCATTACAAAAGGAGAACCTGGTCCATATTGGTTAATAGCAGAAGACCCAGATCTCCGCAAAGGCTGAAAATATCTCTCCCCCTCCAACAGATGTCTTCTGTGTCAGCACAGACTGCATTTGCGATTGTGATTTCTGAGCAAAGACCTGCATATTGTTCTCTGGGAAGGAGGGTGAGAGGACAAAAAGGACATTAGAAAACTGAAAGTTGTTTTATAAATGCAGGATGGCTCTTACATATTCATAATCTTTCAAAAAAATTCATAAAATTCAAAAAAATTGAATTTTATGATTGTGCCACTGCACTCCAACCTGGGGGACAGAGTGAGATCCTATCTCTAAAAAAAAAAAAATTAAAAATGATAATATTGTATATATACAAATATACTACATTGTAAATATATACATATGGAGGAGAGAGAATTTAAAAACTAGTTTTTTTTTAATCCCAAAAAATGTAAATTCTCCCTCTCAAACCCTTTAAAACAGTGGTTTTCAGCGGGGCAACTTTGCTTCCCAGGGGACATCTGATGTTGTCTGGAGACATCTTTTGATTGTTATGACTGCAGCTACTGACAATTAGTGGGTAGAGGTCAGGGATGCTACTAAATCTTCATAATGCACAGGACACCACCCTTCCCCAACAAGCAATAATTGGGTCTAAAATGTCAATGGAGTCAAGGTTGAGAAACCATGTTTTAAAAGAATTTGACATTTCATAGGTGCTCAATGAATGCTGGAGTCTATGAAATGTCAGATTCTGCAATAGGCACTAATACTACAAAGATCAAATGATAAGGTCTTGACCTCAGGGATCTCCCATGGCTTAAGGGAGGCACAGCAGACGACGAATTGTTCTTTCCTTGCTTAGTAGAATCTTACATGTAAAATCTTTTCTTAAATCCCAAAAATGTATGTTCTTTAAGAACACAGGCAATACTATACCCAGTGACTTCTGAGACCACTTTTCAACTGGCTTTTGAGTGGCCAATTCTAAGACTTTCCCATTTAAGCAGCATATTCTAAATTTTTAAAAAACCTAATGAAGTATTATTAGGACTAAATGGAATTTGGTTTATTATAACTGGACACAATTCTGGCTAATTATGTTAATTTTAGAAAGAATATCCTATTTTCATTTTAAAACAATATTTACATCTTAATAACTCTTCATACTACGTGTTCTTTCCTTCTTAAAGGTTTACTTATAGTTTTAAGTTATCAGGTACTCAATTCAGAAATATATTATTTTGTTTGATTAAAATATAAGTCATGTGAAGTTTTAAGCTAAAAATGTAACAGTCAATGACAAGAGAATAAAGGTGTTTGCCTTTATCCAACATAAGTTCTTCAAATGCAGGGATATAGGAATCTTGCAATTGCTGTAAGCGATCTGTTTCCAAGAAATAAGGAAAGCAAAATTCAATTTTTTAGAAAAAATAAATGAGCAGCATTATTCTATATCACTGACACCATTCACCACCTTTTAGATACTTAAGGATTAAAGAACTCAAGATGGTCAAAGAATAACATCCAAATATAGACTCTCCACAGTGTATGAAAGAAATAATTATGGCCTATTAATTGTTCCACCTGCAATAGCAGAAGACCCAGATCTCCGCAAAGGCTGAAAATATCTCTCCCCCTCCAACAGATGTCTTCTGTGTCAGCACAGACTGCATTTGCGATTGTGATTTCTGAGCAAAGACCTGCATATTACAAAAAGGACATTAGAAAACTGAAAGTTGTTTTATAAATGCAGGATGGCTCTTACATATTCATAATCCTTCAAAGTGATGGCCATCACAGACTACAGCAATTTGTCAGCAAACACATCCATCCCTGGGAAGCTAGTTGCTGGGAGTAAGTAGTCAAGTGCCTCTCAGAAACCTGTACTCTCCCATCAGGACAATAATGCTGAGAACACTTTTGTCTGAAATCTTGGGGGAGGGGCGGGGGTGAAATATGATGACACACTGAGAAAGAACAAGGGCTGTTTTAAGTAAATATGATCTGCCCCAAGCTCTGGGTAGGCCTGAATGGGAGGGTAGCTGACTAGTTAGTAAATGCATTGATTTATAGTTAAATTTAGCTGCGATCCAACTGTGACCTATCAGGTAGCTTCGTCTCAAGGAGGGTGAGTTTTCCCTGACTCCAGTGAAATTCTTCTTTCCACCACATTTTCATGCCTCCAGTTTAGGTCGACTCATCAGGGATCGTGAGACGGGTAAGCACAGCATCTTGCTGACTCTTGGAAATCTTCTCTTCTCGAGCAGGTATTTCACATAGTCTAGGAGAGAATTGACTATCTGTAGCTAGAGCTCTGCAGGCCCTATAGAGGACGTGGAGGTTACGAGGAAAGGCTTTGAAAGAGGTATGAGGTTCCCTTGGACTAATTAGTGGGTCTAGAGTTAGAACCTCTAACTGTGTAGAACAGATACAAAACAATTAGCTCACTAGGTTGCAGTAAGGATTAAATTACATGTGTAGATACACTTGGTAGAGTGGCTGGGTAAATGGTGTTATCACAGTGCTTTTAGTGTGATTGAGGTTCCATTTCTGTTCTCTTCTCCTACTATTCCCCCCCAGTCCCCGACTCGCCCACATTGCAGGTCTAGTTTCCTTCTCCCTTTCCTCCAATGTACCATGGGGACTTTACATGTCTCTTCCTTCTGCCACACTTGAATGCTCGCTGCCTTCAGGTCTTGACTTGAATGGGTCAAAGAGTCTCAAATGACTCTTCTCCAATAGTCTTTTTCTGGCTGCTATATCTAAAACTTCAACTCCACTTTAACTCTTATTATCCTCCTTCCCTGCTTTACAGATCATCTAACAAACTATACAGTTTATTTATTTATCATGAGTATCGGGCATTTCCTGCTCTAGGAGGGAAATGTCTTGAGGGCAGCGGCTTCTCTTTGTCTTGTTCACTATTCTGTCTTCAGTAGCAGATCAGTGCCCGCATGGTGGGTACTCAATCAATATGTGCTGTATGAATGAATTCCTAACCTCTTTGTGGAAACACTTTTCCAAGTCCTTCTGTTTCTTTTTTTTTCTTTTCTTTTTTTTTTTGGAGATAGAGTTCTGCTCTTGTTGCCCAGTTTGGAGTGCAACGGCACGATCTTGGCTCACCGCAACCTCCACCTCCCAGTTTCAAGAGATTCTCCTGCCTCAGCCTCCCGAGTAGCTGGGATTACAGGTGCGCACCACCACACCCAGTTAATTTTGTACTTTTAGTAGAGACAGGGTTTCTTCATGTTAGTCAGGCTGGTCTCAAACTCCCGACCTCAGGTGATCCAACTGCCTCAGCCTCCCAAAGTGCTGGGATTACAGCACTTCTGTTCTCTTTTTAAAAATTCATAGCACTTCTTACTTGAAGGCATAACAACTCTGATAGAACAAGTACTGTTATCAGACTTTAAAACTGAGGCTCAAAAAACCCAAGATTTTTCCAGGTTGTATTTTCCTTTCATATTGGCCTTGCATATAAGTCAAGCAAACAATAAGATATTGTCTCTCTCTTTTAAAATTCTATTTAAATTCTCTCTAAAGAATAAAGAACAGAAGTGTAAATTAAAATGCCTGATAATCAGAATATATTTTCCACCTAGGAAGATTTATTTCTGTAAATATATATGCTTTATTTAAATATTAGCAATATAAAGTATAGAAGCAGAGGTAACTGCATCTCTAAGATATATTTCTGCTAGCAGCAGCCAACAGATCTACCTTACAGGTAGCAGTTAAGAATGAGGCTGTGCTATTCACAATAGCAAAGACTTGGAACCAACCCAAATGTCCATCGATGATAGACTGGATTAAGAAAATGTGGCACATATACACCATGGAATACTATGCAGCCATAAAAAAGGATGAGTTCAAGTCCTTTGTAGGGACATGGATGAAGCTGGAAACCATCATTCTCAGCAAGCTATTGCAAGGACAAAAAACCAAACACCACATGTTCTCACTCAGGTGGGAATTGAACAATGAGAACACTTGGACACAGGAAGGGGAACATCACACACCGGGGCCTGTTGTGGGGTGGGGGGAAGGGGGAGGGATAGCATTAGGAGATACACCTAATGTAAATGACAAGTTAATGGGTGCAGCACACCAACATGGCACATGTATATATATGTAACAAACCTGTATGTTGTGCATTTGTACCCTAGAACTTAAATTAAAAAAAAAAAAAAGAATGAGGCTGTGCTTTTTGAACCAAAGAGAACATTTGATCCTCTTTCCCTGACATAAATATGGAAAGACGGAAAATTTGCCTAAACTGTTAAGACCTCAGTCAGCTAAGGACACCTGCACAAAACACGAAAATTGCCTTCCTTCCTCCTCTTCCTCATTTTCAATTGTGAAATAGGTGTAGGCATATGGTCAAAGACTCATAAGCAGGATCTCTTCTAACAGCACCTGATCTGAAAATATCAAGTCTAATTTCAACCTAGTTGCCAGTATCTGATTTCAATCACATTGGTTGGGTCTTAGGTACTTGCCTAGGATCCAAAAGATCAGTATCAATCTGCATTTTTTTTTTTTTATCATTTAACTCAGCAGTCTTGTGTTTGCAACATTAATGGTTTATTTCACTGGTGGCTTCTGTCTGCATGAGGGACATTAAGAAAATAAAATTGGCGCTCATATAAGCAAAATAACTGAATTGCTGGATTTAGTCATTAAAATATACCTCATGATATCCCAGGAACTCTTAACCAGAAAATCTGTCTTAGATTTAATAAACCACTGATGGTAATTTAATGCCAATAATAACACAATATTTATTAACCACTGATGAGCATTCAACGGTTCATGGGCTTGAGTACTGAAAAATATGTAGCAATTATACATATGATGCTTTAAAAGATTGAATTATACTTCTTAAACATGTTATTTCTGTTTTTACATTTTTAAACATAAAAAAATCTTTTTGAGAAGAATACATTTTAGGAAACAAATTCAGAACCCATAAAAAAATCTTTGGAAATAATAAATGCAGTGGAGCTAAAGGAGTAAAAATACATAAGTTCTATTTAGAATTTGATCAGTTTTCAATTTTTCAATAAGGCTCTAGGCAAATCTTTTTAGCTCTCATGGTTTTCATGAAGAAGAGAAATAGAAATACTTGTTATGCCTGTTTTCCCTTCCAGAACTGAAATGCAAACAGGAGTGTCCGGATAAGGTGAGTTCTTTCGAACTCCACTTTCAGTGGAGTTGTCTAACCTTGACAACTCCTGCCCAGGGATTCACAACATATCATAAATACATACACTATTACACTATTAAGGAAAAGGGCAGCCAATAAAAATTTCCTGAAAGGGCATCATTTCTGTAAGTTGAAATGGATTTCAGTGCCCTTTGATATGTGGTCAAGTTTTTACAAAGAAAGGTCTTATGAAGAAAATCTAATTTCACATAAAATGAACATAATATTTATAGTAAATTAAAAAAAAAAAACACCTTCTTATCCAACTCACAAGCCACATTGTTACACAACTCCAAAAAGCACCCTTCCCATTGTTTTCTATAAAAGTGGCATCTTCTGGGGTTGAACCTGTTGGTAGCCCTGTTAATTAAAAGTTAAATTCATAGACTCCTTACTGAGCAGCTATTATATATAAAGCACTGTCTTCATTTCTGAGGGACCTGAGTCTTAAGTCGATTTTATTATTAAATTATTTACATTTCTCACACAACAAATTTAGCTTCATTTTTAATGGATTTTACTCCTAGAGGAAGGTTTATAAAAATATGTATTTTTATTTTTCCCTGTTGGTTCCATTTTCAGAGGCTTTCTCCAAATCAATTATGGCCAAGATCAACTCATGGCATCTTATTTGGGGGAAGACACCACTAAAAGAAAATCTTCAATATATGTGGTTTTAGGAAACATAATAATTAAAGAAAAATCGTGAGAAAAGAAATCCACCGTTATTAACTCATTGAGAAAGAACCATCGATGTTAGATCCAGAGTATTCTTCCTTAATTTACTTTGTAAGGTCCTTCGAGAAAAAGCTCAAGTGCAGAAAACAATTGAAGAGGACTGCAATTTTGTTTTTTTTAGAGACAGAAATAGTTTTTTTTTTTTTTTTTTAAGACAGAGTCTCGCTCTGTCGCCCGCCGGGGTGGGAATGCAGGCGTGCGATCTCGGCTCACTGCAAGCTCCGCCTCCCGGGTTCACACCACTCTCCTGCCTCAGCCTCCCGAGTAGCTGGGACTACAGGCGCCCGCCACCACGCCCGGCTAATTTTTTGTATTTTTTAGTAGAGACGGGGTTTCACCATGTTAGCCAGGATGGTCTCGATCTTCTGACCTCGTGATCCACCCACCTCGGCCTCCCAAAGTGCTGGGATTACAGGCGTGAGCCACTGCGCCCGGCCAGAAATAAAATTTTAACTTTGTGCTTACTTAGTGCTATACTATTCTCAAGAGAGAACTCGTTTACTCAAAAAAATCAGGATTCTAATACTTCTCAAACATACTCACTTATTCTGGGGGAAAAAACCACTTTTCTCAAAGAGCTTAATAAATGATAGCAAAAAAGGGATTTGCTGCATTCCAATTTATTTTGTACTGGCTAATACATTAGCCAGTACATACTTTTCATCTGGTCACATACTATTTCTACCATGGCTTTAAGTAAATATACTATTAAGAAAACTATCATGTTTTTGAACTCGAAATTTAATCCATCGGCCTCTATGTTACAAAGGTGAGATAGAAATGAACTTCATTATTGTATTTCATTAATTGACACACCCATATTTGATATACTTTATTAGAAAAATCAACTCAATAGTGATAGGATGACAACTTACTGCTTCTCTTTAAATATTATATATTTATTATTAAAATTATTTAAATTTAATAATTTTAATAAGGAGTATATCATAGGGCTTGTCTAGATTTCAACAAAAGGCTTGAAATTACTACAAGATTATGAAAAAGGAGCAATGAAGCTACTGAAAAAGATTTGTATAAACTTCATAACTGCTATTTTGCATTTAACTATACCAATAATGATTCATGAGCAATTTCTTCCTGGATGCCAATACTCTTAGAAACCCTCAAGAAATACAGTATTAAAGCAAATGATTGGAAAAAAGAAGACTGAATAAAGGATGCAGTAGTTCAGACGTGTTGTACTTCTATCTCCATTGTGTATAAAGGTGCCAGCTGTGTAGGGACTTGGGCTCTATAAAACAAAGACTTTGAAGTTTCATTCTTCAACACTCAACTTAGGTAAGGATGTAATTAAAACAAATTCCACCACCTAAATCAAAGTTAGAGAATTTAGAGAATGCTTTGAGCATGATCTGAAATGATTTGATAAACAGCACAATTGGGTAAAACTGTCAAGACATTCATAGCTTCAGGAATGGGCTGATAAAAAAACATGTAATAACATACAAATACATGAATGTCACCAGAACAGCTGATCACCTTATCATACTAAAAATAAAAGAAACAACATTTAAACCATAAATTTTTAAATTTTATTATAAAGTAGATTTGTGAAGGTGATTAAAGGGCCAGAGTTACCCAGGAAGGTTGGGACATCTTTTTAAGATACTTTAACAATAAAAAAAAAAAAAAATAGATCCTCAAGATTTTGGTATAATCAAGGTGTTACCATTATCAAATGGAAGAGGGGAAGAATAGATTGATTTTAAAAATCTGTGTACTAATTTTTACAGTTTACATATTTCTTTTCTATAGATCATCTCATTTGCTTCTGGTAACTTTCCTTTGTCCAAGAATTTACTCACTACTGAATGCCTCAAATGCAGGTCTGAATAAAATGCTATTTCTTGCCCTCATGGAACTTATAATCATGACTTTCTTTTGTTATACATTTTCGGTATTATGACTATTTTGATTTAAGTAAATCAACATCAAATCCTATTGGAAATAAGAGAGAGAGAAAGAGAGAGAAACAGACAGACAGACAGACAGACTTGGGGGAGGGGAGCAGATGAAGAACGGAAGTAGATGCTTGTGTAGGGCAGCCTTGAAAACACACAGGAAGGAAAGCAAAGAAGGCCTGGAGGGTGCAGCTTCAGATAGAGGGAAAGGAGCTATGTGTGAGTGAGGGAGGAAGACGAGTGTGCTGCAGGAGAGGGTGAGAAAGGTTGGATTGTTCTGCCTTATTCCCTGAGCCTAATTTGCTTAGATAGAATCCCAAAGCCATTCTCAAGTCAAAGAAAAAGATACACCTTTGAGACAACAGTGGAAACTAAGATGGCTCCACAACCATGAGTAATAAATTAGATCCCACTGACACTTGGGTAGAGAACCAGATAAAAAAAAAAAAATGCCTTTCTATTCATACTTCAAAACAAAACAGATTCTAATCACCTCAGCAAAAATAGGAGGGCTGGAAATAATAGATAGTCTGTAAGATTTGTAGCTGGTAAATGAAAAATTATTATTAATAGCTAATATCTACTATGTCAGGTTCTGTTATAAGCATTTTACACACATTAACTCATCACAGCCCATTATGCTGTTACCCTCATTTTACAGATAAGGAAACGCACAAAGAAGTTAGATGACTTGTTGAAAGTATCTATTATTTAACATAGGCAGCATCTCATTTGACTTCTGCATTTTCTTTATTGCTTCCTTTTAGCAAACAAAAAAAATATTTCTAAGAGCTTTCATTAGATTGAAAATATTTTCAGAGTTCACTTACAATCTTAGTCTTTCTAGCACTAGTTTTTCCCTCAAGATCTTGAGTTTTCAGCTATTATTTCTCAAAATGGAGTTTTCAGAAGGCAGGCGGTGACTTCAGTCTAGGACATACAAGGTTTGCAGGAGGCTGGCCGCTTGAGAAGTTGATATTATGATGCGCAGATGGCCAAAAGTTCCACAGAGCAACCAACTCAGACTGGGCTGAACAGAAATGGTAGCAAAAGTAGGACTTTAATTCAGTCCTAAAAGATCAGAAGAATAAGACTGGGGGGAAGACAAGGAAGGACATTTCAAGCAACAAGTAAAGGCACTGGCCAATGTATGAGGAAGGGCTTAAGTCTGTGTATGGCTATGACATCACATGTGTGTAGAAAATAGCAGGATATGCAATTGGAGAAGACAAAGTCCCAATGAAGAACAGCTTCCTGTGTCACGTAAGGAGTACGATGTTAAAGAGTTTACACTTGGGAGTTACAAGATCAGACTGGATTCCAGAAAGGTCACCCTGTCACCATCTTCCCCACTCCTTGCCCACCTTCCTACCCGCTACCACTCAGATCCAGGATTGCAGTTCATCTGTCCTCTACCAAGATTTGGAGATGATTAATCCAGTCAGGATCTGAAACAAAGGCTGGCAGTGAAAAGAGAATAGATCCAAAGAATAAATAAGTAGAATCAACAGGACATGTAGATGGTGTTTTGGAGAATTGAAAGAGAAACAGAAGTCCTCCAGGAAGATAACATCTCTGGCTTGTACAATCTAGGTGGGTAAGAGTGCCATTCTTTGAGACAGAAGACTCGGGAAAACATGAAGAAGGCAGGAAGTGACTTCAGTCAAGGACATAACAAGGTTTTCGGGGGCCGGGTAGACATCCAGACAGATGTGTCCATTAGTCCAGTGGAGAAGACTGGGCTTCAGGAGGTCAAGTCAGTCTACAGAGACAGAAGGACTTGCAATGAACCCCAAGAAAAAACAACCAGCGGGTGGGAAAAAAGAAAGCAGCAATATGACTGCAAATCAAGGAAAGAGAAAGTTTCAGGAAGGAGGATGTGATGAGTTTCAAAAAGGAGGGTATGGTCAGAGCCAGTGCTACAGAAGACCAAGTGAAATAAAGACTAAAAAGAGCTCATTCAATCTGGCAATTATGAAGCCCCTGGGACCTTACACAGCAATGCAGGGACAGACATCAGTTTGTATAGAGTGAAGGAAAAAATGGGAGGTGACTATGTGGAGGCAAAGAGGGTAGAAAAAAGTTGCTTGGTCTGAAAAGAGATGAAACTAGTCCTGAGGTCTCGCTGAAGATGACTGCAGGCTGGGAGGAAAGGGGCAATTCTGGGCAAGGGAGGAGACAACAGAAACAGCAGGAGGAGTCCTCTCACACAGAGGGAAAAGCTTTACATTGAGTTAGGATGAAAGAAGGTAAGAATGTGGGAAGAAGATGAGTTTGAGAAGAAAGGCAGAGGGAGACCTGTGGGATATTTACCCAATAAGGGATACCTGTCCAATGGCTCCAGTTTTTCTAAAAGGCATAGAAGAAGGTCACCTGTGGAGAACAATGAAGGCAGGGGCAGCGGAAGGGAGGAGAGGAGAGTGGTGGAGATTGGGAGCAACTATTCCAGGGAAAACAGGAGAAGGAACTGAGCAGGTACATACACAGTTGATTATTAAGCAGTGCTGAGTTGAGCTGTGCAGCCCAAATGCAGAAAAATAAACAGCTAGACTGACCTTAGGGAAGGGGTCTGCAAGGTGGATATTATGGAAGAACAAAGGATAAAGGAGATAGTACATGTTGGCTAAAAATGATTAAACTAAGAAATCATGAGGCCCAAGGCTGGAGAGACAAGTTATTAAAGTTTCATGGGGACTGAGAGACTGACAAAAGACCCGAGGGCTTAGTCAACATCAAAGAACAGGTGTGTAGGGTGTGAGGGAGTACAGGCTGGAAGCATCAAAGGCTGTGGTCTAAGATTGGGATGCTGTACATTTAAGATTTTAAAAGCAAAACAGACCTGGGTCATAAAAAGTCCAGGTTGTGAATAATAAGAGTGGGGTGTCATTCCAGGTAATAGCAATATAACTATAGTATCAATATTATACCATTTTACAAGTGAGACAAGGACTAGATGACTTATTCAACATCACAGCTGGTTAATGGCAAGGCTAAAGTTTCAATCCAAGTCTTTGCTGCCAAGTCTTATTGACCTTGTCATACAAAATCATTTTACTTGGTACCTTTTTCTTTCAGCCTTTGAATAAGAAATAATAAAATGGTGATTTTGCTTTCAGACTAGGACGACGTTATAAATGAAAGAAAGCTATCAATCTGACTTAAAATGCAAGTGAAAGTAACGGTTTTATTTTCAGAACTCTGGTTATTACCCATAGTGTAGGAGCTTATGAAATTCTGTTAAAGTGTATCTTTGCATACTGTTTTCTTATTATAGAAACATTAAAAGTAACTAGCTATTGAACATGGCAACAAAAATAGTTAAGAACCACTTTATCTCATAAAACATAAATTTCAGCCTCCAGTGGCATGTCTGCTATTATTTCATAATTCTGGGTCCCACTCCCTATTAAGTCCAAGGCTGTGTCAGGATGATTTAGGAAGATAAAGCAATGTTACACCACATATTTTCAACCCAGGTACCTTTAGGCATACATCCAAATGTGAATATCAGATCTGTACAAATGTAAATGGAGTTGTCATTTTCTTTGATTAAGAATCACTCAGGCTCTCCATCACCATTACTAGACAAGACAGAGTGGCCTGCTGCCAACTTAAGGGGGCTGGAGGGATGGGGCAGTGGTGTGGAAATGGCAAATTAGGGGCCTCCTGCAGTGAGTTACTGCTCACCAGTCCTGGGCAGCCCTTAGGACATTATACATTAAGACACATATTCAAATGGAATGATGGTGGTACACATCAGCATAATTCACCTCAAATAATTCATTACAAAAAGACAAATGAACAAATGTCAAATTTGCTGCCTATGATATTAGCTATTACTGTCTTGTACGATATATATTAAGTGAGGAGCCTGCAGGAAAGCATATACAGTTATTCCATAGCTATTTATTTCATCCACTCTTGAGGCAAGTAGCGTCTTTCCCTGTCAGTTGGAACCAATCCAACCCACCCAACCCAACCTACCTAGACTCCCTAACTGTTCCTAGCTATCCTGGTTTCTTACTGAGCTAGTAACTAATAGTTTGCTTTTACTGTATATCAACTTGTCAGGCTAAGGTTTTACATGATTACTATTTAATCCCCACATTGCCCATGTGAAGTAGGTGCTACTACCACCCCCATTATACTAATGAAGAGAGCAAAGCACAGTCCCAAAGTCAGCCAGCTGGTAAGGCCAAGCTCTTAGCGATGCCTGCATGCTTCTGCCTTTGTTACTCCGCCTTTCAAATTTCACCCAACTTCTGCTCTATAGCTTGATGGCACATGTTCAGGAAGAATTCCCATTTACTTCAGTCCATACTGATTACTCCCTTCTCAGAAGTAGCTCATCCATACCTGGATGGAAGCTTTGCTTTCTGGTAATGCCAGCACCCTCTAATTTTCATGGGACAGGCCTTGGAGAGACTGACCCAGTCTTGTTTGCCTGGGAAAATGGTGTTGATGGATGGACAGCTTCTTTGTGGTAGTGAGATTTGGGTTAAATAGCTCCAGTACCTTAAAAATTCCAAGATGTAACCTAAGCCCTAGTCCCCCAAAATATTCAGAAACAGGGATTCCTAGAAATCTAAATCATGCCCTTTAAAAATTTCGTGTCCAAACCTGATAGACTTAAAAAATTAGAAATGAAGAATATTAGAGACATTCATGTCCACTGATATTAACCCCTTCCATCCTACTTCTCTAAAGCCATGCAGCTAGCTCAGAGAAAAGTAGGAACTCCAACTCCTTCAGCTGTGGGAGGTGGGAACAACACAGGCCCTGTGGTCAGATACCTTCAGTTCTGTCACTCACTGGCTGTGTGACCATGAGGAAATCATTCAGATCTCTTTAGATCTCAGTTTCCACACTAAAATCAGAGAAATGATACTTAAGGCCGTTATAAGAACTAAAATAGCTAATGTGAAAGTTTTGTAAACCATATAGTGCTCTAAAAATGCTACAAACTTCCATTATTATTCTACATTTGGGATTTCTGACTTTCATGACAGAGATTTGTTTTTATCTTGCAATCCTCTGCTGCAACAATTATCAATTGATGGTGTCCCAGACCACTGTCAAAATACAGTGTACATTATTCAAAGACCCCAAATACCAAATGGTCACAAGCCTAGTGTGTTATTATGTCTGAAAGTGTTTGAGTGACCAAAGAATGACTGAAGCTCTCATCTAAACAGCAGAAGGAAAACCAGAATAACCCAACAAAAGGTATCATGTACACACATCAACTACCAGACAGGTTAAAGGTGGGCAACATCCTATGAGAGATGAGACTAAATTAAAGCACATGTTGGAACCTGCCTGTGGTCTGGGAAGAACAGCAGATACAGACAGCAGAGAACAGCAGGAACAGACAACAGAGACCGGGACACAGATATGAGAACTTCCTAAAGAAGGAAGAAGGGATGAGTCCATTAAAAGATGACAATTTAGAATGTCAAGAGTCCTCTGGTGTGTTCTAAAATGAGGCTGGCTACTTGTGTTGTTAGAGGCCTGAGATGATGTCTACATGTTTGGGTAATGATCTTGGATGATATGAACTGATAGCTAGGCCCAGAAGTAAGAAACAGGTACTGCCATAATAGTTATCAACCTTCCTGCCACAGTCTTGGGATGAGTTCCTCTGTCCTGGGCAAGTTGGCTGGGGCTGAAGCACAGAGCAAGGGCCATTGCAAGGTGCTCCTTATTAGGACATTTTTCATCTAACTTAGACCCACAGACTATGTGCACTTAGTTGGGGCCTAATTATCAAGAACCTGTATTCCACACATACACTATTTGATACTTAATATAAATAATGTACCCAATTTTATTTAGCAAAACTAGCAAAACTTGTACTCAAAATGAATGTTGTCTCTAGGCACTAATACCATTGATGTTTAAATCATTCTGAAATTACCTACATCACATCCCTTTGAATATAGAAAAATAATATGGCTCATCTTTGTTAAAAAGTATATTTAATTTTTTACATTTAATATCATTCTAAACGGGTAAGGAAGGTGAAAGATTGAGTTGGATAAAACTGTTAGAAAGTAAATATGATAACAGACCAAAAAGAAATTTTGTGGTTTGTGTATTTCATCACCAAAAGAAAGTAGCTCCCAAATTTATAGGGCAATTGCAACATTTTTGAAGGAAATACGTGCAATTCTCTAAGGTAAATGTTCATTTGCATAGATAAAATCTGGTATGCGTGTGTGTGTGTGTGTGCGTGTGTGTGTGTCATATCTCTTTACTTAACAGCCAAAACAATCTCCTATGTTACCTTCAGCCATTGTTTCCCCTCCCCTATAAATACATCTTCATTGCAAGCAGTTTGTGGGTGAGAAAATGCCTCCATTTTACCTATGTTCACCAGTTAGTTACAACCTGTTGGGCATACAGTAGGTGCTAAATAAATGACTGACTTTTAAGCCTCAAAACTTAACTATAGATAAGTGTTCCGAACACAAGAAGTAGAAAACTCAAGCTATATGGGCAGCCGATGAAAATTAACTGTGCACTTATATAGGCAGATGTAATTAAAAATGAGGGGAGGAGAAGAGAGGAATAAACAAAACCACCCCAAAAACTCATATCGTGTGCACGACATTATATCTGAAAGTGTCATAAATTTCCATTTTATAGCATTAGGAAGCTGCCTTATGTTAATTCAAGGTGGGTAACATGCATATTAAAATATAGCTGTGCTATCTCTGCATTGTTCTCCCAGCTTAGAAGGTAAAATACTGAAGCAAACATGTGGCCTACCAGTGGGAATTAAATTAGAGCGATATTTTACATCATTGCATAGCATTGGTTCTTTGACATTCACAATGTTAACTTTGATATAAGAAATCAGCTAGGTTAGTTTTATCTGTTTATCTGGGAGAAACTTAATCTGGGTTTTGTAAGAAAATCATGGGGTAGTGGAATGGGGAGAGCACTCGGTTCCTGGTGACACCATCTAAATCTTGAAGAACATAAAAATAAACAGCTAGGATTTCACCATGTAAGACAGGAAAAATGGGCACTTCAGAAAATTTAAATGGAGTAGGGGTGTAGAGAAGCATTTCATGTTTTAGAATGCATAGTTTTTTGGGGCCGAAGGAAACCACTCTTAGTCAACTTTAAGAAATAACTAGGGCCGGGCACAGTGGCTCGTGCCTGTAATTCCAGCCCTTTGGGAGGCCGAGGCGAGTGGATCACGAGGTCAGGAGTTCGAGACCATCCTGGCCAACACGGTGAAACCTCGTCTTTACTAAAGGTACCAAAAAAAAAAAAATTAGCCGGGCGTGGTGGCAGGTGCCTATAGTCCCAGCTGCTTGGGAGGTTGAGGCAGGAGAATGGCGTGAACCCAGGAGGCGGAACTTGCAGTGAGCCGAGATCACACCACTGCACTCCAGCCTGGGCAACAAAGCAAGACTGTCTCAAAAAAAAAAAAAAGAAATAACTAAAGTATCTGGGAATATTAAACCATGACTTCAAAGCTGTCCCTCTTGCAGCCTCAGTGAGGTGCGAAAGGTCTCTGATTTCAGGCACCCCTCACTCTGGCTTAATTCTTTCACTCTCACATATGGTTGTCTGATAAATCCAGCTAAAAGCAAAACCTGTGATGAGGTCTCAACTTGCTCCTCTGCCTCCCAACCCTCCCTTTAAGCTTGTGACCAAATTGCTGAATTCACCTCCTTTCTCATAGATCTGCCTGAAAAAAAAAAGAAAAGAAATCAGAAGACAGGTCCCCCCCCCACCCCACCCCCAGTTATCTCAAATGTCACGGCTAGGAAGTTTAGGCTGCATGGACCATCAAGACCCTACAATAAATTGAAGTAACAAACATATTACCTTCTCCCGAATCCTCTCTGAACAGATCACCGTTTCTCTACCCTCCCCAAGGGAAACTCTGATCAAACAAATCTAGCCACTCTTTCCCTTAAAGAGCAAAACTCACAAAATTAAGTTAAAAATTCATTCTTGAAGGTTGGAAAACAGCAGGAAATGTCTTTATTCTACATATTAAAACTTCCAGAGAAATCAATAAAACAAAGAATGTAACTAGCTGTCCTTCAAGAGTTTAAATAAAAACACACAACTAGCAAAATTATGAAGTGTGTCTTTCAGGATCCATTTTTCTGGACATGACTCAGACAACCAGCCATTTAAAGCCCTCTTTACATTTAGTGTTTTTAATATCTGCTCTTAAATTCTTAATTCATCCCAAAGTGCAAATGATTAATATTAAATTTCCTTTTTTCTTAAGAATGTTTATTTTAGCAAGAAAATAGTAACTTCCAGTACTTGTGGAACAACAGAACAAAGACCTTCCATACCTCATTTATATTGATCTTAATGTAGCGTGTCTATTACTAAAGACATTTTACAGAATAAAACCCCAAATAGTCTTAAAAAGATAATTTGATTTTCTTAAGGACCATTCTCCAAATTCTTCGGACCCCAAAGACCACACCACACTCTTCCTCTATCAGGCTGCTACAAGATGAAGGAATGATCAACTAATTTACAGAATTTTAGGCTTTACCTAGAGCAGTGGAGAATGCAGTTTTTAGAGTTTTAATATTTGCTCACCCTTCCCCATATAAAGCAGAGTCTCAAATATAAACCCAGATTTCCTGCCTGCAACTGTAAATTCAGTTTCTGGATATACATCACCAAGATAAACTGTTAGATACAAGCATCACCCAGATGTTTTGTAGTATTCATATTAATAATCCTATAAGCCTCTCTTTGGGGCAGAAAACAATGATCATTACTGATCCAATTTCCATTACTGGATGAAGACTCCCAACTACTAATACAGATACATGTGTCTATCCCTCCCTTTACAGCTAACATATAAGGGCTAAATGGAAATCCTAGTAGTACAGCATTTATCTATCATTTTGCAATAATCTGTGGGCAGATAACACAATAGCGACTCGTTCCTTTAATTCAATTTCATAATCAGAAGTGATATGCAAAATATAAGTACAGAAAAGCTATTTTCAGAAAATATGATCTGATTTTTCACAGTTTTTGAATAAGCAAGATAAACGTTATAATTTGGAGTATGGTAATGGCTTTGGGAATTGTGTTCTGAGAAGTAAAATAAAAAGGGATTTAGCATGTAGATTAATCATATGGCTTTTCCAAAGATTCAAAATTTTGAGAAAGCCATTTTTAACATATCTGAAAATCACTTAGAATTTTCAGTGCCATCCTAGCCTCTTCCTCTAATTTTGGTTCATAACCACATCTTATTTTGCTGGATTGCAATGGACTTTGAGGTTGCAATATGTTTTATCTGATGCTGATTCAATTTAGACAATAAAGGATTGAAGTTCTTGAAAGAAACATCTGGCCAACAAAACCTGATATGAGCAGAGAAACTATTAATCATTACTTTAGGTTATGGAAAATCCCACATTCAAATGAACCAAAAAGATTCTTGAAAATCTATCCCTCTACTCCCCATGAGGAAACAGTAGATTTTTCTAAAGCTCCCTGGGTGACAAATGCTGTCTGGTTACAACCATCTTAGCTAGAGCTAAGATGGTTTCAGAATCAAACTACAAATCATTTTGAAAGTTTCCTGTTTTGCAAACTCCGGATATAAGCTAAAGCGATTTTTCTATTCACTACCTAGACATCACCTGCTCATCAACAGATTTTAAAGCATCTTGCAGAGGCAAATTTCCAAAAAAGGTAGCCTAAGTACTTATCCACTATACCACCTCTTCAAAAGCAGCAGAGAATAAATACAAAGTTGTCTGATTAGTCAGTAAACAAAATGAATTCAAGCTGAGGTGCCTGAACACGGGCAAAGGAATGTTTTGTGCCACAGGCCCAAAAGAACAAAGCTCATTTTGTTGCACATTATCAGGTGTCATGGTTCATATCCTGGAGTGCCTTTAGAGACCCCAGGTGTGGCTGCTGCTCAGTGTTTCAGAAACATTCTTCTGTTTGGAAGGACATTGAAGAGCCGTAAATGCCACAACAGTTTCTCTACTTTCTAGGCCCTCTATGGTTTTGAAATTCATCCCATCTCCTTGGATTTATATTGATTGTGGGTATGGCTTAGTGGTGATGGGGGAAGGGGTCTAGTTCTCCAGGAGGAACTCAAAGGAAGGCAGTTGTATAGAACCACAGAAACATATAGAATTATAGAATAAAGTATTCTGAGCAGCTAATAAGACGACCATTTACTACTTTGCCACACAGAGGGAAAAGAAGGAAAACAGCTCCCAACAAGGAAAAAAAAAATAAGTACCCAATGGTCCTCTTCCCTCTTTTGAGCATGGCTGTTGTTTCGGGGTTTTTCCAAGCCTTGTTTTTTTTCATCAATTATTTTCTTTGATGCCTACTTCACTATGCATGGGAACAGAAAGCAAACTATTAGAAATTTTCACACTGCCAGAAGTTCAACAAATGAGTCTACAATTCCCAAGGCCCAGGGCCTAGAGAAATACCAGCTGAAATTAAAATAAGGAGAAAGAGAATCGATAAAGAGGTTAATTAGCTTATGTGGTACAGTCGAGGGAGGCAGAGCATTTTGCTGGGAAATAGCCAGGATGTCCCAATGGGGAGATGCAATCTTCTTAACCAAACGAGATGCCTGGGGAACTCTTTTCTCCAATACTTCATGAACACTAAAAAACAAAGCCACAGATACAAAGGACAGAGTGCTGGCCATGAAGAATCATGGGGAGCTACTTCATAAACACTTTAGGAAATACTGTTTTGCCCTCCAGCCAATTTCCTCTAAGCTTCAAGGTCAGAAAGAACTTTACAAAGGGTGACTAGCTGAGGAGTCATCCAATTTACTTCCTACTGACCCAAAAGAGAAGCCATTTATTACCACTGGCAGGAATGGATGAATTCTGACCATCCCCATTCTGACTTGGGAGTTTCTTTTTGACTGCAGTAGGGTATTTGAGTTTGAGGCCAGGGATCAAAATAAACTGAATGCTCACTCAGGACAGAAGAGTAACACTGGCCCCCCATGAAGAGAGTCCTCTGCACTTCCCCAGGGGTGAGTGTGTGACTGTATATTTTCAGTTTGGTATAAAAACATCAGGAGCAGAATAACTCACCTGCTGAGAGACAGGTCTACTTCCCTAGGTCTGAACATCCTTTCCATCTTTCTTTAAACTTAAAAAGCACCTATTAAGAACTGTTTACTCTGGTTTTAAAGTGGAACTGACATGACAAGCGGCTGCACAGAAACAGGCCGAGAGAGGAACAATGAAGTCATGAAGGAGGCAGCCCTGGGCCCATTTCATCTCAAAAGAAGACTGCTCACCACTGTATGCTACTCTGCCAAGGTCCTAGAGACTTAGAAGAAGCAAGGAACCATGCTGTAGAACCAGGGCAGGCGGTACTCTAGAACTGGGAATTCATTTTCCACAGGCTTAATGTAAAAAGAGGTTTAAATGATTCCATGTAACTGGCCATCATGGCAGCATGCAAATTTACTTAGCATTACAGGAGTCCAAATTTCAGCTCTAACCCTACCAGACATGTGACCCTGACACTTTAACCACTCTCAGCTTCAGTCACCTCATCTGAGAATAACATCTCCCCATCTCAGATAGGAACTGGGACAGAGTCTTTGTGAAATACAAAGCAGATGTTCATGACATAATAACTATTGCTGTTGCTGTAGACCTTGTTTGATAGTATTTATGCTCATCACAGCACTCTGTCCTTGTGATCTGGCTTCTCAGAATGGAAAACAACATTCTAACGTCAATAAAAGCATGAAGAACATGTCAGGTACTTGAGAACCCATGCCACTTTCAAAGCCTAGCTGGGGTTCCCACCAGCAACAAAGAGCCAAAAGCACTGTCCGCCAAGATCCCCTTCTCTTGGGACATCAACACCCCATTCATCTTTGCCATAAACTAAGCCACACTTGATGTGACTTTCTGGAGAGCAGGCTACTTTTTCATCCCAGCTCAGATTCTGATGGCATTACACTGCCCGTGGGGATGGAATTCCACACATGCGGACAGAGACACAGCTTCTCAAAATCCCTCAATATCAAACTGCTGTTGAGATTCTGATTTCATTGCTGATGAATCTCATTCCTGAGGTACAAGTCACAGAGCCTTTTATGGTTCCTGCATTTGGAGATTGTCCCTAGCCACTACAGACAAACACATCATCTTGTGCTTAGAGACTGGTGCTTTTGTCCCTCATCTTCATTTTTCCACCACAGTGATGATGGATGCCCTGCGATCTCATGAAGAATAATGACAGCAAAATGAAAAGCGTATGTGTCATCTCTGGGAAGACACGTGGGCAGTAAAATATAGCTGTACCAAGGCTTTGTGGCCATAACTCCTAATATCTCTGTGCAATTGGAAATGATTTTTAAAAACCTTTATGATTAATATTTTATCTAGAACTCCTACCACTGTGGAGGAATAGAACAAAGAAAATGCACATCACAAAGGGCCTTCAGCATCAATAAGTAAGAAATCTTTAAAGAGCTACACTATCTCACTAATGATTTCCCTACTGACCTGAATCAACTTTCAGAGAGAAAATGCAAGTAATAAAGGCCTAGGAGATGGGAGGATGACTCATTTGTTTCTTCTTCTAGCTGTTTTCTAATTCCCCTCACCTTTTTCCAATGCCCCATGTCAATCAAAGAAAGGAATGCCAACAGGCTCTCCTCACAACTGCCTGTAGCAACTACATAAGGAACCCACGAGACCAGTAAAGAAAAGCCAAGTCCAGACTCCTCTTGGTCAGGGTCAGCCAAGTTTCAACTTAAAATAGATAAAAAGGAAGCTCTTCCAAGTCAGGCCCAATTTAGGACTTCGCTCCATTTCTTCCAGGGACACCATGCCAGGACCTGCCCTCCTTCTGCCCACTCCACCTGGTTCCCATAATTTTTCTTCCTGTTCACTTGACCCTCTAAGAAACTCTGGAAGTGGGGTTTATCCTATTGGTGAAGTATCAGCTAAGACAATTCAATGATGATAATCTCATTATAATCCCAGTAACCAATTTAATTAATTTACTCCTTGGACTGCTCAGAAGTTCAGTCTCTCTCATGTACACACATAAAATAATCAGACACATGTGCGCGCACACACACGCAAACACGCCACTGAAATTTGACTTC
This sequence comes from Homo sapiens, assembly GCF_000001405.40. Taxonomy (NCBI): domain Eukaryota; kingdom Metazoa; phylum Chordata; class Mammalia; order Primates; family Hominidae; genus Homo; species Homo sapiens. Next base: position 171,258,982 of record NC_000003.12, read on the forward strand.
TCCTTACAAATATTCATGGGTCTATCAACCTTGTAGTGTGCTGTAATAATCTACATTTTGTGATTTTCCTGTGCACAGCTTACATCCCACAAAGTCAAGGACAGTGTGTTTTATATAAGAGAGAGAGAGAGCATGCACACGAGAGAGAGAGAGTGTATGTGTGTGTGTATATGGCACATAGTGTGTACTTTATAAATGTTGGGGGAATAAATCTCAAACCTGGACTTTACATTCAGGCAGAGTGTTGACAAAAAGTTGGAAGGACAGACCTAATATTTAAACATAACCTTTAACCAGAAGGCAGCCACATGAATCTTTCAAGAGTCGCCATTAGGAACGCACCCACGGCTGATGGGATAAGACTCAGGTTTTAGGGTTAAGTAAGAGTCAGCAGTTGTCTATTGGCAATTGATAACTATTCCTGAACACTCTGCCTGGTGGCCTAGAAGCTGACCCCTCACAGGAGTCCAGTCAGGACCACTGAAGATATGAGGAGCCTCTAACACTAAGCCCTTGAACAAAGAAGGTGGAAAGGATTCCAGTGCCTTACATTTTGCTTCACCCTCACGTTGGAAAGACCTTAACACTCACAAATGGAAAGAAATAACCCAATAGATTACTATACAAAAAGAGGGAGGAGAAAACAAATTGCCTGGCTAATCTCATGGCCAACGGTAAAGAATTAATAGAAATTAAGGCAAAAAACTGGAAAGTGGTATCCACAACTGAAAAGCACAACCTCTTAATAAGCCAGGCACCCTTTATAATATCATGGAATCATAATTCTGAACTCTGTCATTGTCTGTTTCATTGTCCTTGTCTGTCCCTCACCCAGTGCTCTTCAAGAGATCCATTACATCCCTCTTCTTGCCCTCATTTACTAAAGCCCTCAAGGTATTAATCTGTAGTGCAGAGCTTGGCTGTTGCGTGCCATATAAGAGGATGTGACAATCCTTTGCTTGTCCAACCTTTAGTTAGCCTTCTGAATCTCCTCCTAGGCCCATCTATGCACTTCCTTGTAAAATCCAGTTTTAGCAAAAGAACCCTGCTAAGTCAGTTTAGCTAGAACCACCTATCCTCAATAGCTGATAATCCCTGTTATCTGATTATGTTCCTCATCCTCCACCATGCCCCAGGTGATGTCTGATCACCCGGGCTTGTTTTCAGCAAGAGTCCTGTTAGGTTGCTTAGCCAGAATCCCCCTTAATCCTGAAGTTTCCTCTTAGTAGGTTTCCACCTGCTAACCCCCACACAGCACCTAGGCTATAAATTCCCACTTGCTCAAGCTGTATTCAAAATTGAGGCCATTATTTCTCTCCCGCTGCAAGATGCTATTGCAATGGTTCCTGTGCCTCTCCCAATGACCTTGAATAAAGTCTGCCTTACTGTGCTTTTCCCAGTGTCACTGAATAACTTTTTTCCCTAACAGATGAAAACCTGGGGAAATGGCATCCCTTCCCATCCCCACCTCCTCCCCAAGAGACACACACATTTTAATGAAAGCATTAATTTCCAAGAGGGGAAGGATGTGTTGATTTGGCCGGGGTGGATGGAGAGAGTGACTAGGGTACAGAGGCTCCCATAATTAATAGCATCTTTGTACTATGAGTTCTGTGGAGCTAAATTGACATGCTCTTGAGAAAACAAGGGGTTTGAGCTCAGCTCACAATGGTGGCTGCACCATCTGGTTTCCAATGAGTTGTTTTTAGCTAAATTTTCAGTTAGGCTCATTAAAACCTAAGACACTTCAGTGTTTAGTTTAAACAAATGGGCTCACACAGCCCATTTTAAAAACTCAATAGAACCTTCCTTTCCTTTAATGGCTAAAATGCTTTACAAAATTCCTTGGGGTCAAATAGGATGTTTTTCCAAAGCTAGTTGTTTAAAGCTATTCCTAAGTAACTTCTCACAAGATAACGAGGGTTATTACCGAAATATTGCAAATTTTATTTTCAAATATTTTCCTAAAGTTTCTCTTATATAAAGGTTTATCTTACATTAGGTATTTTAATAAAAACCTATCACCACTAGCAACAGATTACTTAAAAGCTTATGAGTCACATTTCAAAGAGATTTTGTCGGCTCTCCTTTCTTCCTCTATCAAAAGCCTACTGTGTGGAAGGATTGAGGTCCTCTGCCTGGTCTCCAGCCTCAGCTTTGGTGCCATGCCTCTCCTCCCACCTTCACCCATACAAGGCTACTCTCTTGCCCTTTGTGGCTATAGCATTTCTCCCACCCTTCTATACTATGCCACATCTTTACACCTTTGCTCATGCTGATTGCCTTCCCTTTTTTTGCTTAGTAAACAGACATACATATTTTATGATCCAGCCCAAGCATTACTTTCTGTGTTCAAGTCTTCTTGATATTTCTCCCCAAGCAAAATCGATTGCTTCCTCTTCTCCTTATACATAATTTTAGTCACAACTTCCCACTTACTTATTTGCATGCCTGTCTTCCCTACTAAATGTCAATCTACTTTCAAACAAGAACCCCAGCAGGAATGATAATTCCTGGTAAGTAATCAAGAAATGTTTGTTGGTTGGATGGATGGATGATGGATGGATGGATAAATGAATATCATTTTTGATAAAATCAAGGCAAACAGCCATGTCATAATTCCGAGTGTAAAGAAATCTATTTTAATTTCCTGTCTTCCTGTACAGAGTATGACTTCCTTGTATAAATATGACTCATTCATTCAACAACTGAGCACCCAATCCTATGGGTCATTGCTTCAGGTGGTGTGGCTACAGCAATGGGCGAGGCACCCTCTTCTAATGAAGTTTGAACAAATAAATAAACAAATGCAGACCATTTCAGATAATGATGTGTGTTATTCAGAGAATCAAACAGGAGAGAAAACACAAGGGCTGGATGGTTTGCCGGGAGGAGACACAAAACTTTGGTTTGGGTAGAAAAATCCTCTGTGAAGAGGTGACATTTGAGCTGTTTCCTGGATAACAAGACGCCAGGTTTTATGAACAACTAGGATCAAATATGAATACTATTATTTATAACCTTTTCAATCCTAACCCAGCAGCGGGGTCAGTGGTTAGCCACTCTGGGGGTCACTGGGAGCAAGATAGTGACAGTGGCCTCACTCTGCTCACCTCTCCAAGGGAGTTTTCACAACTGTGCTGATGAACCATGCTAGAGTGAGGGCAGACTGACCTAGACCTAGAGGCTTACCTTCCCTTCGTTTTGTTTAGAAAAACTGTCTGCTCAGTTTGATTTCACTGACCTTTTTAATAAAACAACCAGATTTAGTGTTTGCCTGTCCTCATGTACCCCTCCCATCACATCACACCCCACCCCACCCCACTCCACCTCCTCTGTGATATCAGCCTGAATGTCATTCTTCATCACTTTCATCTGAAAGTGATTAGATTGACAGAAAGAACAAAAGCTGGTGTTTCACATCTCAATTTGTCTTGTCCCCCAGAGTCCATAAATCAAACAAAAATTCTACACAGCTCCTTAAAATACTCTGAAAGATAAAAGATCAATGTCTGGAAGCAACTTCTTTCAGGCATTCAGAACAGAAGCAACAAGTGAGAAATAAAGCTGCCCATTCCTAATCTTGGAGTAGTTTTTCCTGGCTTCTCAAGAGGAGTGGCATTTGCAAAGCTCTGTGGTTAAAGCACTGTGGAAAGCAGTTGTATTAATATACTTATGAAGAACTGCAAAAAAATGCCAGTTCGTTTTTTACTAAGCAGTCAGTTGCCTACCAGAAAAAATTCTTCCCTTCTTCCTTGATGAGGGAACCTCAATTTTGTTCTAATATCCATGCCTCAATAAAACCACACTATTTCTGGTTTTTGTTTAAATCCTGGTCTATCCTGATAATCCCAGCCCTCTTGCAAGTGACTGGTTTAAGGGGTGGTTGTGACCTGTATGGGTCAATGAAGTAGGAGGCAAAAATCCATTGGAGGTGTCTGGAAAATTTTCCCTTCTGATGAAACACTCATAGAAAGAGACAGCCCTTTTCATAGTGCTGGACATTATCATGCCTGTATCTGACACATAGAACTTATAAAGCCATATTGACTGTCCAGGTAAGCTAGCCTAAAGAGAAGCTAAAAGCCTTCCAACTGAAAACTGCTGTCATCTTGAAAATTCACCAGGCTATTCCCAGCCTTAAAAACAAGCAAGTTGGGATAAACTTGAAGGTCTATTCCAGCTCAAAAAGTATGGGATTCTCACCAAGGCACCTTTTAGTGCTATTTTAGTTAGTAGAGCCAGTGTTGACATATGTGATGCTACTTGTAAAAAAAACTCTGCCAGGTGACCAGAGACTCATAGGGAGTTTTGTTCATAGGAGGATATGAATTGGGATTTGCATGCCCAAAGGCTTTCAAATTTAACTTTTGGAATAAATCAAGAATCAGAGCAGGTTAAGGAAGGGCATTAGGAGAAATAAGACGTTTACACTGACTGTACCAGACTGCAACTCTGTCAACAGAGAGGAACAATTTTGAGAGAAAAAAAGGAGGGGGTTTTCAAATTTCAATGATGTTGCCTTTTAAAAAATCTCCATTTATTCATTTATCCATTTGACACATTTTTATGGAACACCTACAATTTGGTAGGCAATGTCTATATGCAATGATGTATAAAACATACTTTTCCTTTAGGAATTTTTCCTTTAGGAAAAATTCTTTCCTAAAGGAGTGAATAGTAAGTTCAGTGAAGGTCATAGAAAAGTAAAAATATATTACAGTATTTCTGACAAGAGCCATTATTAGAAGAAAGCCCAAAGGAGTATGGGAGGCCAGCCAGGTAAGGGGTGCTTACCCTAGGATGGAGCAAGTGGTGTAGGAAAGGCTTCCTATGGAAGCAACCCTTAAACTGAGACTTGGAGGAGGTTATGGAGGGCAGGGCGGGCAGAGGCCTGGCACACTGGCAGGAACACAAATGTTTTAATAAGGCTGGAGTACTGGGTGTGAGGCAGGGAGCTGTAAAGCTAGAGAGGTAAAAGCTGGGACCAGGTCACCTGAGGCATGCTACGGAGTTTGTGAGATTTTATTTTATATATGTATGTGTGTGTGTGTGTATATATATGTGTGTGTGTATATATATACATACACACACACACACACACACACACACACACACACACACACACACATATATATATATATATATATACACCCCTTACCTGGCTGGCCTCCCATACTCCTTTGGGCTTTCCTCTAATAATGGCTCTTGTCAGAAATACTGTAATATATTTTCACTTTTCTATGACCCTCACTGAACTTACTATTCACTATTCACTCCTCTAGGAAAAGAATTGTATGTTTTATACATCATTGCATATAGACATTGCGTACCAAATTGTATACACGTATAATACACACACACACACACATATATATATATTTTATTTTCAGACGGAGTTTTGGTCTTGTTGCACAGGCTGGAGTGCAATGGTGCTATCTCGGCTCACCTCAACCTTCGCCTCCTGGGGATCAAGTGATTCTCCTGCCTCAGCCCCCCGAGTAGCTAGGATTACAGGCATGCGCTACCACACCCGACTAATTTTGTATTTTTAGTAGAGATGGGGTTTCTCCATGTTGGTCAGGCTGGTCAGTACTTGGGAGCAGTGTGAAACAGAAGGAAATTTGTCTGCAGGTGCTTTCTAAGGCCCCCATCCCGGGTTCCCTCACACTCTCCAGAAGCTCTCAAATTAGAAATTCTATAAGCTTGCTTCTGCTGTGGAATCAATGAATGTGCACAGCTTAAAGTACAATTTTGTGTTTTAAAGGGGGATAATCTCTTAACACAGAAGAAGGAAGCGATAGCCCTGCAATGGTAAGGGGATCTTGGAGATACATTTAGATGAACTAAGTTTACAGTTAAGGAGACAGAGGCCCAGAAACACTGTGGAATGTTCTCCGAGTTCACCCATGGTATTTCAGACCCCTGCCATGAGAGAGGTAGTGGGTGGCGGGGCTCCCTTCAGAGGCTGCTGTATTAGGCCCAGTAGGCTGCCAACTACTGAGAACAGTCACCCTTTCCTTACGGAACACCTTGACCAGAAGTTCCACGTGGCATGGCATGGCACACAAAATGAGTGCTCATTAGGCATCTACTAGAAGAAGGGAAAATCCTGCTATTTCTCATGCAATTTGAGAATGTGAAAGTGAACCCGGGTACTCCCCAAATGTAGGCACCAGGAAGCAGAATATGGTGCATGAGTGTATTTTCAAAAGAAAAAGCTGGCAAATGACAAAATCCAAGAAAATTGGCACAGCTGCTTGCCATTTGAAGAATCAAAAACTGAAAATATTTCAAATAATAGGAGAAAATCTAGAGGAATTGTGACTTAGGACCAATTTGGATAGGATTTCTAAGCAGACAATGATCATTTTAAAGATGTGTGGATGCTCATTTTCAAAACCTACACTGACTTCTTTTTAGAAGAGCCACAGGCTAGAAGAGCCTTCTCAGTGGAACTGGATTCTTTTGTCTTTAATGACACAACAGGTAGTTACATGAACTGAGTGGTCTCAGACCTGCATTAATTTGGGCAGACAGAGATTTCAAAACTGGTGAAAAACAAAACTGGAAGAAAGCCACTCTTAAAGTGTTTAATTTCTTTGCATTTGCAATTCAAGCAGATGCTACCAACAAAATACATATGCAAGAATGGTTAAAGGTTGCAAGGGAATGGTAATTAAAATTATCTTTGTAAGGTGATTCATTTTGTGAAAGCTACCAGGGATGTGATAAGCCAATATTAATGTAATTAATCAAGGTTACTGGGGAAACAGAGGGAAAGTGGAATCTTAAAAAGAGACTGGACAGTGGTTGAGTCCTAAGGAGGGTTGATCTGAGTCACTAGTGATTGCTTTAAATAAGCATTATTTTTTTTTCCTTTTTAAAATCATGAGAAGGGAAAGAATTATCAAATAAGAATCTGCAGTTGGCTGTTCAGTTATCCCATGGCTCCTGGGGTCCCCAGACATAGCCGGCCAGGCTGTCATGGCACCTCCAATTCAGATACATGACATGGCCCAGCATACTTCCAAATGCAATCTAGAATCAAAAGGTGGCAGATGTAAATGCGGCACGGGCCCAGGAAGCTGTCAGGGTTGAGAGAGGAAAAAAAGGAGGGAAAGAAGAAAAGATGGGGGGAAGATAGGAGGAAAGAGAAGAGAAAAAGGAAGAAAATAGCAGGAAAGGAAAAGTTTCTCTTCCACAGTTGAGATCATTGTTGACAAAGGACTGTGGACTTGAGTTTTAGAAAATGAAACAAAAGTATTGTAAGCTGCTAACATTTCCAGGAATTAAATTGTCATTCACCACCCTTCCCAGGAGGTAACTGCTAAGGAGATAAAGGATTCCAATATTATTTTAAATAAAAAAAGCCTACATTAGGGTCTAATACATAAGAGTGGGAAAACAAAGCAAACACCTTCTGGAGGAATCTTTCCCTCTCAGTTTCCTTTCATCTTTTCTCAAAGTAGAGAGGAATGACTCTTCCTTAGGTTGCCCCCAACCCAGGCTGTCACCTGGGCACACAGAGAATGACTGGGCTCCTCTTTATGCATTTGAAACGCCTACTTAGGGTCTTCAGACCTCATTATGTCACTCTGCTCCACTGCACGTCTGTGAGATTTGCCAAGTTATCTCATTCAACAGAGTTGTGAAATCTGCATGCTTCCATGGGAAAACCTGAGCCTTTGCAGGAATAGAGTACATTTTATACAAAAGGAACCAAGCAGAAATTTGGTAAAACAATCTGAAAAAATTATAGAGTGCCTTGAAAACACTTCCTTCCTCTGGCCTTTCTTGAGAAACCAGAAGTCAGTGTCTTCCAAGTTTAAAAAATCAGTCCAGCTTAAGTTAAACCGGCTTCCTTCTGTTCTCCAAAGCAGATGATTATCATATTTGACTATTTTCACTCAGAGTCTGTTCAGAACAGCCTGGCCAGTGTAAAATCCAAAAACATTTCACTCTCAGATTGCCATGTAAAATGCCTCTCTTATAATGAGAAGCCTAGACAAGGCAAATGGCATTTTCAGCATTATAAATTTTTTCCTCTTGATAAGAAACTGGCACAGATAAATCCATGTTCTATTTCTTAGGATGCATTTAACTTTTTTAAAGGATTCATTTAAAAATTATTATTCAGAATGTAAATTACAGGAGAGTTTTTGATCTAACCATCTTAGGGTTATAGTAGTATTCACTCAATCTGAGTCACGGTAGAAGAACTGGTAAGTACAGAATTGACATCTTGCTAAGAAGAGCCAAGAGGTTCTCAGAAATCCAGCCAAAGCTGCTGGTGTAAGGGCTGCTCTCTTTACCTGGCTTTGTTCAATACAGTACCAAAGAATTCCTGCCTCAGCAGGTTCTGAGAGAAAGTAAAGGGCCAGTCTCTTCCAAAATGAAACAAGATACAGCAAAGGGAATATACTTAATTCAGAAAAGCAGCTTGGCAAGACTGAAAGGAGCCTGAAGTCAAAACTCAGAGACTCCCAGGTCTGATTTATCCTTCTCTCCATTGGCTACATGTTCATAAGCTGAATGTTCCAGTCATGGGAAATGGACGTGAGTTCAAAAATGTGCTAGTGTGACTGTAAAATGCTTTGTCCTCATCTTTCTGATTCCAGAGACTAAATACTTATATGGAAATCAGCCTATTAATAACATCTTATCGTAAGGATAAATTACAGTGCCATCCATGAGCAAAGGACTGGCAATTATCTAGTGACTACAGCCTTTTAGATAGGGCAGGAGAAATAAAGGCAACTTTTTACCTAACTGATATGTGAAAGGAAACAGAGCAAAGTTCTCCACGTTCTCCATGTGTCAGCTTCCTCATCTGTGAAACTCGTTCATTTATTGAACAGGTTTACTGAGCTCCCACCATTTATGCCAGGGTCTGTACTAGGACCTACGGATTCAACAATATTCAAGAAAGACCTCATATCCACTCCCTGCCAATTGCAAGCCTTGCTGATGGCCCCAGAGCCTCAGCCACCCTTTCATTCTTCATCAGAAGAAATTCAGCATGACCCTTCCATTGCACCACATCAAGACTACACTCTGAGGAGTCCTTCTGGAAAACCGTCTCAAAACTTGAGCCTGATTGGGAGTTGATTTGCTCCTCATTTAAAATACAACCCCTCCTCATAGAATATTATGCTTCCCAGTGATACAGTCTCTCATTGACCAAACTTTTAGTCAGGCTCTTCTAAATCCTCTTCCCAACCAGGCCTCGACTTTTGGACTTCCGTGTGTGTCTTTATGTTGCCTAATTTTAGCAAGAGTCCTGACAAGTTGGTTTAGGCAGAATCCCTCACCTTTGCTATGTGATCATCTTCCTCAGCCCCCATCATCCCCCACGTAATATCTGATCATCCTAGCCTGCCTTCAGCCAGAATCCTGTGAGGCCAGTAAACAAGAATTATCCCTACTCCCTTAGTAATTTTCTATCCATTGACCTCCCTACTCTGCTACTTGGCTTTAAATCTCCACCCTGCCACTTGGTGTATTCAGAATTGAACCCTGTTCTATACTAAGGTCTCTTTCCCTATATTGCAAAGGTCCTGAGTAAAATCTCTTTGTACTGCTTTAACTGATGTCCAGCTCTGGTTTTCTTTGATACCAGTCATCCAAACCTGAGCATGAATTACTTCAATCACCCCATGAAATCTAACCTCAAGCAGAGACTAGCTGTAGGAATGGAGTTTTCTTTTGGGAGAAAGACAGAGGGAAAGGTAATCAAAGAAAGAAGGGCTGGGTGGTGTGCTGCAAGGGAAGGCATTGGACAGGCCAGAGGTCCAGGCTCCAGGAAGTAGGAAAGAGAATTGGAAGAGGGACAAAATAGACAATGCCAGTGAAGTTACAGTTGGCAGCTCTGGGAAGTACTTCCATAGCCAAAACAACGGCTGCTACATGGAGTGATGCAAATTCAAAGGCATGGCTCTGTCACAAGAATTTATACTTTCCAGAAGTATATTCACCCACAAGTAGAAAACTTATTTTACCTTCTTTTGCAGAGTAATTCAATTCTCACTTGATATAGCCCACTCAAGTTACCAAAGTTTTCCTATTGACATCTCAATACAAAAATATTCAGGATTATTCAAAGCTCATTTGAAAAACCTCAAAAATTTGTAATTAAAAGTACAAAATGGCAGCATGTTGGCTACTTGAAAAAAATCAAACTATAATTTTTCTTACAATGAAAGGGAGTAATACTGTCTGTAATTTATTTAGAGAGTAGCTAGTATAATGCAGGCATGCATATTAAACACTCTCTCTTTCATTTCATCTGACTAAATGAATAAATACATTATACCATCCAGACACACAGTTGAAACATTTCCCCGAGTATTCTTTAAACACAATGTGCAAGATTGCAATGGCATCATGACTGACAAAAATGACAAAGACGCTGTTAATCAAGTAAATACAAAGCAGCAGCATGAATTATTTATGCCAATAATATTTGTAACCATACAAATTATATATTGATGTTATACTGGAGTGTTTAGTATTTCAGCCAACATACATCACACAATGTTCCCCCAACCTCGATGTTTCATTTCCTTGGATAGCTTTAATTCAGTGGTGGCACTCAAAACAGAACCACAGACACAATATCAGCTTTTTGTTGCTGTTGTCTCAAAATATGATTTCTTTCTTATTATGAAATAGTTATCCCAAAAAGCACAGCTGGGGCTGGTGTTACTTCAGAGCTTCCTACATGAAAGACCACTGAAACAGCCTATGCTGGAGAGATTATAGTTTCACTTTGCTTCATGTTTAGAGGGAAGGTGATATGTGACAATCACTGCTGAAATGGTCTTTACTGACTCTTGCATCAAGGTCAGAATAAAAACATTTTAGGGGAGGGACTACTAAGGCAATTCTTCTAAGGCAAGAACCTCAAATATTTTCCTTCATTAACCTAAAATAAGTTTCAGAGAAGTTTAAGTACACTGAATAACTAGGAAGCTTTTTACTTCTTCATCTATGAGATCAGTCATACTTACCTATGATTCCTCCATCTCAATAGAAAATAAACTCACACACCCACACACATATTCACACATGCATATACACCCACATTTACACACTTACTTTGAGCAGTTCAATTTCTGCTTGGAAACTGTGAAGATAATTATTTATCCTTAGTTAACCCCATCTTTCTAAGTTTAGAAGGAGCTACTCAGATACTGCCACAGTTGGGTAGGTCACTCACTAAATTTTAAGTTCCTTAAGGGCTGGGGGCAACTGGGTCATGAGAATACCCCCGTAGTATCAATATTTACAATACTGTTTGGTTACTAAGTTGGAGTGGATTCTTAATGAGCAATTGGACCACTTAGGAAAAGGCTAGAAGACAGTACTACATCTTCCTCACTGACAGCTACTTCCCTGTTCATACAGAGATGGAATGTATGTGGAGCACCACTATAGAGCGACTGTTAACATGGAGAGGAAAGAGGCCAGAGAGAAAATGCCTGGTGACTTCTCCAAAAATACCCACATCGTTAGTGAGGCATTCCCACCTAAATATCACACCAGCAATTGAAATCAGACCCAAAGTAAAATTCGTCTCTAATCGCCAACTATCTTTCTCAAATTCTCCTTATGCCTTTACATGTGTTAATTTCATTTCCTGAAATACCCATCCCCATCTTTTCTCACTCCTCTCTCACCCCTGCCTACTGCCCCAGCTGTTTCCTGACAGGTATAGTTGTTAGCCACAAAAAATAGGGGTTGAATCCTACCTCTATACCACTGTCTAGTTGGATGATTTTGGGAAAGTTACTTCACACTCAGTGCCTCAGTTTTTTAATCTACATAATGGGGATAATAAAGGTTCCTGCTTCATAGAGGTTAAATGAGTTAACAGATGTAAAGTGATTACAACAGAGTCTGGCACATAACAAGTGGATTTTAAATGATAGTCATTATTGTTCCTGTTATTTCATTTCACAATGGTACTTTGCAAGTGCATTTAATACAACACTCATTTGTTTACCTTTCTGGCTCTACTGCTAAGCTGAATTCAGGGATATTTCTCACTCACTCTGCATCCTCTGAGTACACTGCCTGATACATGGTAGAGACTCACTACATCTGAGAGGGAGAGATTGGGTTCTGGCTTACCCTAAGGACAAGCTTATTCTTACTGTGCCAGGGTTTGAAACCTCAGTCTTCAAGTTCTGCAACAATTCTTTTCTAATTGCGCACGTTTCCTACCTGTGTTGCCAACTCTAATAGTTCTAGCATTTACTTGCACTTCTGCATTATTCTTAGAATTTTCTAAGAGCCAGATACTTTTTAAAAAGAAAATAGTAATTATTGGCTTCACTCCAAGATCATAAACATCAAGTTCAAGCTCCCCTGCCTGGTACCGAGACTCATTTACAAGAAGATCCAGACAACTTTCAAACATCATTTCCATGACCTATCCAATACACACCCTCTAACTCACCTTGTGTGTCCTGTCTCCAAGCCTATGCTAAAGATGGGCCTTCACCCTGGAAACACTTATGTCCATCTGTTCAAATCTTACTTGTTCTTCAAGATTAAAACCAAATGCCATTTCCTCCATAAAAACACTTCTCAAAATTAATCTCTACCTCTCATGTGTTCCCAGAGCACTTTTTATGGGAAAGCTATTTTATTAAAATATTTATGACTGTTTTGACTTTTGTTATTTATATGTATTAAGTTCTTAAAGGAAAGGGACCATGTCTTAATCATGTCTAAATCCAGAAATGTGCCTAGAACAGTGTGCTACAACCTATTATATATAACTTTCAAACCCGAATTTAAAAGAAAAAATTAATTGACATGTAAGATGCTAGGACTCACATCTGTTTACAAAAAAAATTAGATTTAAATAACTAAGTTCCAATTATGTTTAATTCTCAGAATTACCTTTGAGCATTAGATTCTTGCCTGAACCCCTTAAAGAATTAAAGTCTGCTTTATGTGCTTTCCTTGACACAACAGGCACCCAAAACATTTGTTAAACTTAATTGTTGAATTGTTTCTTTCTGGGAAGTTCAGGAAACTGGGTCCATAGAAGGAGTCCATATGATTATAGCCACCACCCGGAGATGGTAAAGGCACTACGTGATGACAGCGAGAGAAAAGAATAGACAAACTAGCTTCCTCTGCTGGTTCCTGGCCACCATGCAAACACATGCATCACTTACAGACTGTCTTTGACTTTCCCCCATCCCACCCGACTGGAGCCATGACTGGTGTTGGGACTAACAAAGTCCTCCTGTTGAGGTCTGCAGGGCAAGGTGTGGGTACCAAGGGCTTCAATGACAGAGAAGGCAATTGCAGTATCAATCTCTGGAGAATTCCAAGATCCAGAAGCCAGGCCTGAGAAAGAAATGTTCACATTTAAATTATGAGCTAGAGCTCTTCAGCCATGAATTGCTAAGGGGTCTTTCCTAAGATGGCACCGTACACATCGAGACAGTTGGGGAGCCATGAAGGAAAATCCCTGAAGTGTCCGTTTGGTCTTTTGATGCTGTCCCATAAATCCTATATGTTTTTCTCATTTCTTTTGTTTTTTTCTCCTCTGACTGTACATTTTTAAATAACCTGTCTTCAAATTCACAGATTCTTTCTTCTACTTGATCAATTCTGCTGTTGATGCTTTGTCTTGCATTTTCATTTCCTTCATTGTATTTCTCAGTGCCAGAATTTGATTTTTTTTATTTCAATCTCTGTTAAATTTCTCATTCTGGTTACTTATCGTTTTTCTCATTTCACTGAGTTGTTCCTCTGTGTTTTCTTGAGGTTCTCTGAATTTCCTTAAAACCATTATTTTGAATTGTTTGTCAGGCAGTTCATATATCTCCATTTTCTTAGTGTCAGTCACTGGCACTTTATTTTGTCCCTTGGGTGAGGTCAGGTTTCCCTGATTGTACCCTTATGGCCACGTACTGATGTTTGTGCATTTGAATAAATAGATATTCCAGTCTTCACAGATTGGCTTTGTCTGGGAACACCTTCAACAGCCCAACCAGAGATTCTGGTCAGGACATCTGATGTATGATCAGAAGCCCATGGCTGCTAGGGCCAGTGTGGCGCTCACACAAGTTAGAAGCCCAGGGGAGCACCAGAGCAAGCTGAAAGACCCAGGCCACTGAGACCTCTGTGCTGCTGACAACTGTCTAAATTCCAGGGGTGCTAGAGTCAGCCCACTAGAGATGCGGACCAGAGATCAAGTCTGCCTCAAAAGTCTAAAGCCTGGAGCTACAGGGACCCACCTGATGCCAAGGTGAGTCTGGAGGTTCAATCTGTGGGTACCAGCCATAGTCTTGGGCCATGGAGGCCTTCCTGGTTCTGGGCTTTACTGTAGTGGGCCTGGTGTTGGGGTGCAAGGCAAAGTCTTGTGCTTACTTCCCTCTCTTTTCCCAAAGTGGACAGTATCTTTCTGCATTGTGCTGCCTGGGGCTGGGGTAGGGGTGATGCAAGTGAGTAATGTAGAACTGTCCCTCCTACCCTCTTCAATGCATCTTTTCATATTATGCTACAACCAGGTACTATGATCTCTCACTTGGTTTCCTCAGCTCTTAAGAAGGTATTTTCACGCATGGATAGTTGTTCAAATTAATGTTTCTGTGGAGAGATGATCACTGGCGAGTCCTATTCTTCCATCTGCCCCCTCTCCACAGCCTATAGCTTAATAACTTTTTAACTCTGAGAGTCTCAAAACTTGAGACTCAAAGTTTTATGTTGCTCAAAAAACCCGACCTTTTTAAAAAATAAAAATGTGAATAGAGCCTTAAGAAAGTGGTATAGAAATGGTAAGAGATGTCATGACAACTGATAATGAACCTTGCAAACTATTTGTTCTGTTTTGGTTTTCCAGGAGGGACATTAGAGTGAGAATATCTGTGAATTAACAGCCTGATTTACTTTAAACTTTCATGAAGAAGCCTGAAACAACAATGAAGACATAAGTTTTCCTAAGAGATTAAGCACTGTCACCCCAATATCCTGATTTCTCTACCTCATCTTACAGAATATAGACATATATCCACAAGGAGCAATATGAAATTGGAGTGAGAAAGTGAGTTAGCTTCCATTTTCAAAAATGTTTATTTCTGTGTTTAAAGTGAAACAAGAGCCCCAGGGCCCTCTATCCCAGAGGAAGACCAACCTGTGAGCATTCTTTAGCATACAAGGAAAACGCTTAACAAAGGGAAAGGCACACAAGAAACATGAACATCCTCATTCCAATTTTCTGTAATTCTCAAGAATTAATCTGAGATGTCTGGATTTTTCAGGGCTGAAAAGCAAGGAACATCACATGAAGCTACTCCAACTTATCAAAATACAATTTATTGTCAGAGTTATAGATAAACTGAGCCACTCTCTCTCAGGTTGCTTATAGAGACCGAGCCCAGGAAGGACTGGAAACCACTTCAGAAGCAACTCATAGCTACTGGCTGCATAATGAATGAGAAGATATCTTCTACAGCCCCTTGAGTCTCAGCCAAGCATCACACAAGCCAGGAGGGGGAAGTTAAGAAAAGTAAAGTAATATAAAAATGTTATAATATAAGATAGAAATATGGTCCTAGCAGCCTGAGTTTCAAGTAATTCTCAGATAGATGAAGGTTAAATTGGCAGGCCAACATATATGCAGCTATAAAATGGACAGCAGAATAAAATATTGTCTAATAATTCAAAATAGAAATGTAGAAAACAATATTGTGACTACCAATTGACCACACAAGTTGATCTTGATCTTCTCTTCTTTAATCAACCTCACTAAATTGAGTTAAGAAATTTAAAATGGCATAATATCCTGAGGAGGTCCAAATAAGCCTCTTTCTAAAAGAGACAAAATGGAAGGGTGATAATTAATGAAACAGGGCAGAAGAATCTACAGTGTAGAAATTTATGGGCAGGACCCAATTAATCTTGCAAAACTGGGCAAAACTTGAGATTCTTCGAAGGCCAGAGAATGAGCATGAGCTGTGAGGCAGGAAAAACAAATTATCTGAAATCATGTATGTGAGGCAACCAATCATTAACCCCTACCCTATGCCCCTCTCCATTCTGCCAACTAATAATCTCTCTTTTTTCTCCTCCCTCTCCTCCTCTCCATCAACCCAGACACCACCTACCCCCAACCACACACACACATACAAAAAGAAATTTGGAGCAATCTTTTAAAAAGAAATTGGAAGATTCAGAGAAAAAGCACATTCAGACACCAACTCATTCAAATATCATAAAACAAAGCCCACATAGAGAGTCACAAGGCAGCTGTTTAATGGCTTCACTCTTAATTATGAATAGCCAATCATGGTTACCAGTTATATGAAGAAAGCCTCCAACAAGAAAGAATACAAATGAGATGAATAAATGGAGGAAATAGTTCTGAAGGAAATACACATAAGACAGGCAATAGAAAAGAATTTCAAAAATTTAAAAGAGAGCCAAGAAAATATTATAACCATAAAACAAGAAGAGAATGCTATGAAAATGGAAGAAGTAAACTAGAAAAAATCTTACTAATAGAAAATTATTTTTAAAATTAAATAGAAGGATGAATCAGAAAAGATTCTAATTTCTCACAAAATTATGACTTGATTTCAGAATTTGAAGTTATCATAAAATGTGTTTCCATATAAAAAGAGGAAAATCTGTAGTCCCAGCACTTTGGGAGGCCAAGGTGGGCGGATCATGAGGACAGGAGATCAAGACCATCCTGGCTAACATGGTGAAACCCCGTCTCTACTAAAAATACAAAAAAATTAGCCGGGCGTGGTGGTGGGTGCCTGTAGTCCCAGCTACTCGGGAGGCTGAGGCAGGAGAATGGTGTGAACCCGGGAGGCGGAGCTTGCAGTGAGCCGAGATCGTGCCACTGCACTCCAAGCTGGGCGACAGAGCGCGACTCCGTCTCAAAATAAATAAATAAATAAATAATAAAAAATTAAAAAAATAGAGGAAAATAAAGAAACTGGCCCTCTACAAAGGAATAGGAATTAGAATGGTATTAGACTTTTCAAGAGCAAGCCTGAAGACTGCAGACAAATGTAGTTCCTACTGAGAAGTTACTCTTCCCCTCCACTCCATTCTCAACACCCACTCCACAAATGCTGAAGAAAGGAGCTGGACGAAAATAATTTTCATCTTAGAATTCTATATTCATCCTAATCATCAACCAAAGATGAAAATAGAACAAAACATTTTTAAACATTCAAAGACTAAGAAAAGTTAGCCCCTCCACACCCTTTTATAGGAAGATCATTGAAGATATGTACAACCAAAATGAAGGAGTGAACCTGAAATGAAGACAGGATAGTTTTCAGGAACCAGTGGATCTGAAGGAGGAACTTCCAGAGTGACAGGTAAGCATCAAGCCTAGGGAGCAGAAAGATGGAGGAACCTGTGGAGGAGGGGCTGGGAAAAAACTCCATCAAAGTGAACTTGGATGTCGGAAAATGTCAAAAGTGGAAGCTGTGATTAAAGGGTCAAAAGCATAAGGGAAAATGGCATTTGGAAATTCCATAAAAACAAACAGCCATACGAACAAGAAAATTAAACTATAATGATCATTAGCTCCACTATAAATAGGTCACAAATAATATTTATTGATTTTCAATTTTTAGAATTAACCTTTTGATAAAGCTTAAAGACTTAAATGTACTTACAAAATAAAATGAAATATCATGATCTGTATTATATAAAAGTAAAAAGAAGTGGAGAGTGCAGGGGTGCCAAGAGCCTAATTTTACAAAGTAGGGAATCTAAAAGATACTGTTTGGTAATAAAAAATTCATCAAGATGCATACTTAAGAAGTAAACTTTTAAACTATGAATGTTTATTGCAGTAAAAAGTAGAGAAACAAAAAACAAATTATATCATGTGTTCGGAGAAATTGGCATGTGAGGATATCGGAAAACTAAATTCCTATCTATTTTAGCAGAAAGTCTATGCTTTAGATTGCTATACTTTAAATGTGTCCTTCCAAGTTCATGCAATGGAAATGTAATCTCCCATGCAACACTGTTGAGAGGTGGAAGCTTTAAGAAATGATTAGGTCATGAGGGCTCTGCCCTCACGAATGAATTAAAGTGATTATTTCAGGGGTGGGTGACACAGGATAAACGTGGCCCCCTTCCCTTCTCTCCCTTGTGCATACTCTCATCCCACGTGGTGCCTTCAGCCATGTTATGATGCAGCAAGAAGGCCCTTATGAGATAGAGCCCCTTGACCTTGAGATCTCAAACTTCCTAGGCTCCAGAACTGTGAGCCAAAAAACTTCTATTGTTTATAAGTTATTCTCATTTCTCTATAAATTATGGCATTCTGTTATAGCAGCACAAAACAGACTAAGACACTAATAAATTAAGAAACAACAATAAAAGCCTATTTCATTGAGATTTGAAGATAACATTCAGAATAGCTAAAAGAGAAAAAAGTAGTTGCTTTTGGGGAACAGGTTCGGGAAGTATTAATTAGAAATGTGTTACTTTTAGACAAGGCCTAACACTATTTTGATTAAAAAAAAAACAAATTTCAGAGAAAATAATATTGTAAATGTACAACGTATCAGCAACTTACCAGAGGAGTTTCTGTGGGCTGGTTTAGGAAATGAATAATTGTTTATAGCAGGGGTTAGCAAACTAAACCCTGCTCAGTGCCTGTTTTTGTAAATGAAGTTTTAATGGAACACAGTCACACACATTTGTTCACATATTGTGTAAGTCTGCTTTCTGCTACAACAGTAGAGTTGAGTAGTTGCAACAGAGACCTACAGACTGCAAAACCTAAAATATTTACTATGTGGCCCTTTATAGAAAAGGTTTACAGATCTCTGATTTGAAACACTAATTTTCTGGGAAAATGTTATCTATAGCCAAGCTGACTTTTTAAAAAGAGTCAAGCCAGATGCAGTGCTGTGCACCTGTGGCTACTCAACTCAGGAGGTTGAGTTGGCAGGATCGCTTGAGCCCAGGATTAGAGGCTGCAGGGAGCCATGATCATGCCACTGCACTCCAGCAGGGGTGACAGAACAAGTCCCTGTCTCAAACAAACAAACACAACAAAACAGGTTCTAAGTTGGGGGCTGCCTCTCTCATGCACATATAGCTCACCCGATGGGGACGAACATGACATGCCTCGAGACCTAGTGTCTAATGTTTTCTGACTGGGACATGTAAAAGGGGATTTGTGGGCCCCAGTTGGGTATATGCACAAGATCCCTCTCTCCCTTTCACAATAATGGAAAAAGTCTGTCATGAGACTAGAATTCTCCTAACCTTTCAGATGACAGTAAGAACCCAGCCCTTGTCTTTTAATTGCTACATGCTGTCCAAAAAAGAGCAGCCTTTACATGCTCACATAACAATGAATTTCTGCTTGTTTCTCAATGTGGATATGAGAATGAAGCTTATCAACATCAACATAAGTATTCAGCATTCTAGGCCAAAGACTCAGCAGCTGGGCATTCAAAGATATCCTATAGATACTTATTTTTTTAAAAAAGATAAAAAAAATTTAAAAACATAAAGAAACCAAAAAAAGCCACACTAGTCTGAATGCCATGACCTTGGTCTTTCTCATCACAATCCTTTAAATTGCCATATAACCTGGAGGTAAATCCAATTCATGGGAAGACCAAATAGGAAAGTAAGTGATAGTCTGCTAAGGAAACCATTAAAAAACAGGAGTATCCTCCCAAATGACAAGGGGTGACTTTGCCTAAATTATGTATTAAGAATTAATATCAAACAATCATACCTCTTAGCATTAGCTAGTTCACAGTAGGTCTTTCTGCACAGAAACCACTTGACTGTCAAAAGAACTTATGCTTGTGACAAAAACTTTTATTCCATATCTGGGATTCTCAGTGGATATGAGATGTTAGAGGGTATAGAATTGTATCAGAATTTCAGGGTGGAGGGGGATATTTTTAAATGATACTGCCCCAAGTTAGTGAGAAATTGTACAGTACTGAGCACTATTATTGATTGGAGCCTGTTGCATACCTCAGGCAGGCTGATGAGGAAGCATTACACAATTCTTCTTTTTAGGGGAGAACAAGTCTTCTAGCAGGATTTCCTAATTCTTGGTATTTGGATGAAGAGTTTATATGCAGACATTATTGGACAAAATCATGTCTAACTAGCAAAAAGAAAAAAAAAACCTAAAGGTAAACAAATTTTGAAAGTGGGATGTTAATCTATTACTTCTAGCTTTAAAATAAACTAAAACAAAAGTCATCTGAAGATATCTACCAAGACATATTTTTAATGAGATCCTCCTATAAAGTGTTTATAGTTTGCTTTTTTCTATTTACTTTGTTTTCAAATATTTCCATGTCCATAAACATAAAATTCTATATATTTTTAATATCTTCATTTAACATCCTTGTAGACAGTTTAGGCTTTTGGTCAAATTGTTTTTAGACACAGAACTCCTAGGTCAAAGGACTTATACTTTTTTAGGATATTTGATAACAGCTCTCCTAACTGATCTTCCAAGAATTATACCGATTTGCCCTCCCACTGCAAATACATGATTGTGCCACATAGCCACCCCCTTGCCAACTCTGGCTATTGGCATCCATTTCCAATACTGCTAATTTAATGACTCTCAAAATGGTTCATAATTTGGTCAGGGCTTTGAGCTGCTCTATCCAAGGCAACTATTAAGTGCACTTAACATTTTTTGACAATAGCAATGACGATGATGATGATGATGACAAATGCCTTTGTTCTAAGCATTTCACACCTATCATTTACTTAATACAGCAACCCTACATGGGGGTATTATGATCATCTCCATTTTGCAGATGAGATGAACTGAATTACAGAGAGATTATTTAAATTGCCCAAACCTACAAAGCTAATAGGAGGTAAAACTGGGATTCAAACACATGTAGTCTGGTTCTAGACTCCTTCAGAATCTATCTTACTCCCCCAGGTATCAGTACATACCTACTAATAGTTCATGCACCATAAAGAAAAAGATCCATCCACTCCTGCCCTCAGGAAATGTTACAGTTCTACAGTTCTATAAGTGTGAGCTAACTTGAATACAATTAGCCAAGTACTTTCCCATCTGGAATCTGTTCCCTTTTGAATTAGAATCTATGTCTCGCACGTTCCCTCCCGGCTATGTGGCACTCATGAATGGATGGGCACCACACCCCATATCACACCAGTCAATCTGCCACATCCTTCTGCTTCACATCTCTTGGCATGGCCTTAACCCTTGCCTAGGAACCAGATAATCATGTGAGTCTTGACTGAGACTCAACAGTTCTCACAGCTGCTGACCACTGTAGATGAGAATTTTTGAACTGGGTGAGAAAAATCTTGGGTTCTAAGAGGCAACAGAATACCCTGTACCAGGCTCTGGCTTCCTGGGTCCACCACTTACAAGTTATGTGTCTTTGG
The DNA here is from genome assembly GCF_000001405.40 of Homo sapiens. NCBI lineage: Eukaryota > Metazoa > Chordata > Mammalia > Primates > Hominidae > Homo > Homo sapiens. Next base: position 171,280,402 of record NC_000003.12, read on the forward strand.
ATCAGGCACTTAACCTCTGTGAACCTCAGTTTTTAAAATCTGTGAAGTGGAGACAATATTTACAGCTCATAGTGTGATGTAAGGAAATGTGCTAACATGCTTAGCACTGTGCCTGGCACATACTATATTGTTGGTCAATAAAAGTTATTGTTATTTACAGATGTTTCAAATCTTGGTTCCTTTTGTTATTCCTGTTGATACCAACTTGAAAATTATCATGACACTATGAAGTCTAAACTGTCTCTAAATTAAAAAAAAAAAAAACTGTATCCAAAAGAATGATCTTTCAGAGATAAACCAAAAGATGAAATAAAAGCATCCATCACTTTAAAAGACAATGTTGATATATAACATTATATAAAATGTTCTTAATATCAGATCTATAAGCTTTAAGACTATCCTGTTACCATAAATCAGAGCTAATACTTTATTACTGATAAAGTAAAAATAGATATTTCTCTATTACTATATGTTACTATATATGCTGTTATGTTACTATAATGCTGACCATGGCTCTACAGGAATAACCTAGACAAAATCTAGAACACTCAGTAAAGCAGATGGTGCTTAGGAACCTACTGAATAAACAGTCTCAGCTACACTTTCAGTAAGTATCCCTTTGGAGAAGCTAAGGAATAATCATGTCTTTATGGAATGGCATAGTATTAAACAAAAATAGATTTTATCTATTAGTAGGAAACATTCTGGTTCAATTGAGATGGACTAGATCTAGGGTCCCCAGGTTTTGCTTGGATAGAAGTTACTTTCTATTTCTCTTTGGCCTCAAAAAAAAAAATGGCAGTCTGAAGGTAAAGCATTGTAATAGAAGAGAAGAAAGGTCGGTGACAGCCTCCCATGCCCTTTCTCATATAAAAAACCTTAAAGTTGGTGAGGAAGAGAAATGGCATTACACAGTCAACAAGCTTTGAC